>NC_000011.10:49150909-49453939 GCF_000001405.40 Homo sapiens
AAAGAGCATTTAGTGATCATTTCCTATGTGCCAATTACTGTTCTGAATCTTTATACAAAATGTGATTTTTAATTTTCAGAGCAATTCTGCAAGTTGGGTAGGGTAACAGCCCCATTTTGTAGATGAGATAACAAAGGATCATGAGTTAAATAACTTGCCTAAATTCACACTAGAAAGTTTTAGAGTGAAATAGGAGATTGATATTGTTCTTTCAACTGCACCTTGCCGACAAAAGGAAAATAGGAACAACTTAAACTCCCATAATTTGGATTTGAGCTATTTTTAACATTTATGTATTTGGCATCATGAATTCAGATTCTGTGATAGTATAAAGGTAAATGAAACACAGAATACCTGTTAGCAACTCCGATAAACAGTTGAGACAATCGAATGAAGGATAATTTCAATAAGATGCAATGGGTTTCGGAATCAAATTCACAAAGAATTGCTACAAGTACAAAAACTCGTGGCCACACACACGTAAATGCGCGCGTGCGCGTGCGTGCACACACACACACAGACACACACACACACACTTCTCTTTCTCTGTATCCTGTGTTAACGTCTTATATTCTTTGATGGGGCAAGAAGTGATACAAGAAAAGCAGGATAAAGTCATGTCTCTTCCTTAGATTTCAAAGTTTTGGTTGAGAAATTCAACATTCAGTTTAATTTACTTAGTCAGAATTTACTATTATGTGCAAAGCACTGCTCAGGTGTTTCAGAATTTGTAAGTATCATATAGGGAACAGAGTGTATCTTTACTATCACTTACAGAAAATAAAACAAATATAGAAATACTAAAGGAAGGGGAAGCTGAGTGTGCCAAACAATAAGTGTCCTAAACAAACCACAATTCAAACCATGAGACATTTTGTCAGAGGGAGAAAACATTTTTTCTTTTAAATACAAAAAGAAAACCAGTTTTATAGGATACATGGTGTTTGGGATCTCCTTAAAATGTATTTCTTATTGTTGACTTTTTTACTCACATATAAAAATTATAAAGAATTGAAAAGAATAGGAAAACAATTCTTCCAATATTCCCTGAGGATAGCACAATTATTATAATAATTCATTAATTCCCTTAAAGTTTTTCCTGTATTTGTTAAATAAAAATTAATCAAATTATATTTACAATTTTACAACCTTTTTGCTTACTTCATATTTTATTCTAAGTATCTTCTATTATGTTGTATTTCTAATAATCCATTGTTAGGATTATAAAATGTTCAAATTGGTGAATATCAAATTTTTTAGTAATTTCTCTTCTCTTAGGCATTAGGTTATTTTGAATTACTTGCTATTATAATTTTATACTTCAAATCTTTCTCCAGGCAGCCTTTCTTTTCCAAAATTGAGACTTTTTCCTAAGAAATAATCCAAGAAGTGGAAATACTATGTCAAAGCACAGGACTCTGTGACAGCTCTTGAACACATTAGCAATATGTATCTATCTTTTTCAAAAAGGCTAAAATAATTCATAATGCTATCAGAAAAGCATGGAGAGCATATGCTTCAGTGTACCAGCTACAGCAATGGGCAAACCAAGGTTTAAATTGTTATTAATGTGTTATAAAAATAACATCACATTACTTTCATTTGTATTTCTGAATTATGCATTAGTGAACTGCAATATTTTGCCATGTTTCTTTGCAGGTGTATCTTTGACAACATTTGTAAAATTATTTGTCTTGTTTCTTACCGATATTTTCAGCTGGTTCTTTTGGACTGTTTAAATTAATTTTCAAAAAATATTTTTATAATGTATATATTACTCTCCATTTTTGCTAGAAAATAAGTTTTCAACTTTCTTAATTTTTCTTGTGAATATTAATTTTCGTATTCTGAACCATTTCAAATGGTCTCAAATCTGATTGCATCATTTCCCCATTGCTTCTAAACTTGGCATCTTTCAAGAAATTTCCATTTTTACTAAATAATTCTTTACACCTGTTGTTTATGTTAGCATACAATGTGAAGTGCGATTCTGAATTTACTTTTATAGCAGTTATAGCAGGTACTAACATAGTTCATATAATATTATGGTTGAGTAATCTTTCCCCATTAATTTTTGCTGTATCATTTATTACTAATATTTCCTTATAGATCACCAAGCCTATTTCTACATCATCTACTGTAATCTTTTTATGTGTCCTTACATCAGCTCCTGGGGATTTGATATTTATATCATGATACTATATTTAATACACAGATCTCTGCCCTCAAAATTATACTTTAAAAAAATTACCTTAGTATTCTCACCAAGTATTTTTCCTTCCATCTTAAAATTTTGTTCAAATTGTGTTGTACTTGTGTAATCTTACACAGAATTAATCCTAAATGTTTAACATTTCCAAAATTAATGGCTTCACAATATTTGCTATTCTGGATAAACAGAATTTTGCCAGATGGAAGTGGAAATAAGGAGCTCTATGTGGAGGTAATGACAAAAACAAAGGAGGTAGAAAGAAATCATGTTTTGAAAAATAAATAGTCTGGCTGAGTTATGATGTACAGATACTGAAAAAGCAAGAAATAAAACTGGAAACAGCTGGGGTCACACAGTAGAGGACCTTCAATGTTAAGCAGAGTATTTTGTAACTGATCAAATGTCAGGAGGGAGGGACTGACATTTCTGAGCGGCACAATTGCCACTCAGAATGTCGAAAGTAGGTCTTTTGAGATGGGGCAGCCCTACATAGGACGTGCTAGAGTGGAAAGACAGAAAACAGCAGGAAACGACACTTGTATACCTATGTAACAAACCTGCACGTTCTGTCCATGTATCCAGCAACTTAAAGTAAAACAAATTTAAAAAAAAGAAAACAGCAAGAAATTCCCAAAGCTAGTTCAGCAACAGTCATGTTAGTTTACTTTTAAATATATATATATACACACACATACACACATATGCACATATATGTAGAACATACTTGCTTTTGTCAAAGTCCTGGAGTCTCTCACTGAACTTGGAAGCAATTTCTGTAAAATTCTTTACTGCAGAAAAAAGTGAATCTGAAATAGAAATTGGGATCATCAAATGCTTAAAGAACATAATTTCTAATGGCACTGCTCTATAGTTCAAGAAAAGGAACAATATAGAAGCCATCATCTTTTGTGTTTTACAAGGTATTTATATTTTTATATTATAAGACGTGAGCATCCATAAAATGGAAAATACATTTATAGACATAAACAGAATATTGGATCACTTGAAATAGCAATAAATAATAAATGACCTAAGATAGCCCATTATATTTAGGAGATTAATAGAACCATACAGATGAGGAATTTGAAAAAGGAAGGGTAACATACCAAATGATACACTGTATGTCTTCATTTCCTGTGGATGTTTCATAGAAATACTGTAGATTTTGTCAGCATACTTTCTTAAAACTACAGCATAATCTCGACAATCAAAAGGGAGCACTATGGAATTGGCTAGCTCAAACACCATCCCTCCTCGAACCTGGGCCACAGTGAGGTGATATTTAAACATTGGATCATAAAACTTTTCCACCAACTCATATGTTTCATAGACACTGTGATACAGTGGATAGCCGCTGAATTTGTTTGTTTCCTACAGAAAAAACAACAAAACATATCTCTTATAGGATAGCTTACAAAAAATGATTAGCACCATATTTACTATTAGTATTAGTAAGATTGGTCAGTGATGGATCAAGGAAAGTACTTAAGCATCTCAATAAGCTACATCCTAAATGGCTAATATTATGATACATAAACACATTCCAGGCTTGTATCAATTAAAATATGTGTATATGATATAACAAATATTATTTAAAAATTATTTGAAAGGGACCAAACTGGCTTGCCTCTAAGAATGCAGAACATTGCATTCTTAGATTCATGTTTTAAGAATCTGAAAAAAAAGACAAGACAATCTTGCATTTGGATAAAAAGAAGACGAATTGTTAAAGGCAAGTACATAAGTATTACACAATATTATATAGGAGAAGACACTAAATTGCTTAATCACTAAAATTCCATGGATAAATGATTGTCTGACAAGCAGTGTACTGAAGGCTGGAGAGTCTGAGTGGTGAGGGGTGCAGTAGTGGATCCAAAATCTCACTAAGGAGAGAGAAGGGAGGCCCAGACAGGTGTCAGGAAAACCAAAAGTATAGGTAGAAGGAAGGACTTTTCAAACTGTGAATTGCTGGTTTATCACTTTTGATCATCTTAAGATGCTTATTTTTTATTATTAATATAAAAGGACATTTTATGTACTGATGTGTTGAAGAGACTGGGATTCTGGAATTACCCTGCCAGGGTTTGAATCTAGGCTTCAGGACTTACTACCAAAAACTTTAGGTGGTCATTTGACTTTTCTTTGTTGTAATTTTTTCGTAGTAAAATGTAGACAATATTAATATTTATCCTCACTATCACCTCCTGCATAACTCTGCCTAACCTCCTACCTCACAGACAGGAGACTGAAGATTTTCCATCTGGGAAGAATAGCCCATGAGGAAAGGCTTACAGAAACTTAATGTCAACTCTAAATCACCAAATGTCTTTTCTGTATTTGGAGTTGAGCTCGATCTCTTATTATTGCAATATTCTTATTGGAATAGTTTTGAATGAACTCTTCCTTACCATTTTTATAACTGTGAGAATGATTTTTCTTTATAACATAAAATTTAAAATTGAAAAAGTATCAGGATTAAAATATTACTTATAAATATGGATGTATCATAAAAGTTGACAAAGGTTTCATCTGATGAACAGAAATCAGGGGTGGTATGAATATGAAATGGAAATAAGAAACAACTGTTTTTAATTATAAACCACTGTTCTTATAAAACTACTTGACATTTTATAAACTATGTACCCAATTTACTTTGAAGAAAATGAAAACCATATATATATATATATATATATATATATATATATATATATAATCAACAACAAAAGAAAGGGAATCATGACTTTTACACGTACACAGTGTATTATACTGATATGATTTGACTCTGTGTCCCCACCCAAATCTCACCTTGAATTATGATAATCCCCACGTGTCATGGGAGAGACTTTATGGGAGGTAATTGAATCATGGGGGACGAGTTTTCCTGCACTGCTCTCGTGATAGTGAATAAGTCTCATGTGAGCTGATGGTTTTATAAAGGGAAGTTCCCCTGTATATGCTCTCTTGCCTGCTGCCAGGTAAGATGTAACTTTGCTCCTCACTCACCTTCAGCCATGATTGTGATGCCTCCCCAGCCATATGAAACTGTGAGTCAATTAAACATATTTCCCTTTTAAATGACCCAGTCTCGGGTATGTCTTTATTAGGAGCAGGAAAACAGACTAATATATATATCATTTTTCATTTGTTTAATGACTTGTTATTTGTTTAATAATTGGAGATACAGTAAGAGATGGAAATCCAAATACACTCATTAATTTTGAATGATAATGGGGAGATACTAATTTTGAATAAGGAGGAGGGTGAAATCAAAGACAATTCCTACATTTCCAACTTAAATGACTGAGTGAATGCAATGCCACCAAATGAAACAGAAAATATGTTTAAAGGAGTACACAGAAGTTCACATTTGCAGACATGAGTATTGATACCAACTGACACTTGAATTTAGGGTTGGAATACAAGATATAGGAGTTATCCTACGTAGTAGTGATACTGTCAACCATTGAGACTTCTCCCTCTGCTTTCAAATTTCTCTATTCCTCTAATGCTTGAGTCACTTTTTGGAGTCAGAATTATTTGTTTAGTTAAAACATATTCATAAATAATCTTAGATAATTTGAGATTCACTTACCCAATTTTTAGTATACCGTGCTCTGCCTGAAGCAATTCCAAGTCGTTGGAAGAACACCTCAAAATCATTTCCAGATCCCAATTTGCTTATCCTTTTAGAGATAAAACAACAGAATTATTTCAAAGTAATTTGTTCATTAAGCACAGATTACATGTCCATTAAACTAAACCCCATTCTTACTATTATAAATGTAATTTTAAACATACAGCTTTAGACATGCAGCAAAAACATGAAAAGAATATTAATTTTGATCACAAAATATCTCCTTCTATGAGACTATTTCGTGTAGGAATGACTATTTTATGTCACATTTTGTTAAAGGTTTCTGAAGTTGGAAAACATTTTCCTTAAGATTATTTCATTCCATTTATCATCTTTATTTGTTGTACATAATAGAGTGAAAAGCAAATATTTTTCAGATAATTTGGACATAAATTTTGCCCTTAATAATATAAATAGTGCTGTTGACATCGATAAACTCAGAGCACTGAGATATTTATTCTTCTTCCCTTGCTTGTGAAGATACAACCAATGTTGAAATGATGCTTGCATTTTTATTGCAATAAGCAAAATATTTGTTAACTATATGATATTCAGAAAAAGGATAATTACAAGGTGATGAGGTGGCAGAAAAACGAGGAAAATTACTTTTCACCATTATCTCTATCATGGGTTGAGTATCCCTAATCCAAAAATCCAAAATCTGTATCAAAACATTTCATGCACCCCAAAAATAAATACACCTACTACATACTCACAAAAATTAAAGATTAGAACATTTTAAAAAATGCTGCAAAATCCAAAAGTTTTTAAGCACCTACATGACACTGAAAGGAAATGCTAACTGAAGCATTTCAGATTATGAATTTTCAGATTAGGCATGTTCAACCAGTAAGTATAATGCAAATATTCCAAAATCTTAAAAAAATCCAAAGTCCAAAACACTTCTCATCCCACGCATTTCATATAAGAAATGACCAATCTTTATAATCTGCTGAAATGTTCCATATGTATATATTACATATTCTAAAGAGAAATCACATTTTGATATCCTGCAGATTTAACTACAAAACACATAGTAATATTTTATTTGTGAACCAAAGTAATGCTTTTCTTTATCAGATTTTAGACCATTTTGAAACTTAATTTTTCACTTAATGATTGAAAGAAAATGTGCTTTTATTTTCAAAACAATCCCACACTGAATTCAGTGGAAACTTCATTCATTTGTTTACCTGGGCATGCCACTGAACTCTGGGGAAGGACTTTTTTTAGTCCAACTTTCATAAAGAGATTTGCCTTCAAAGCCTTCATCAGGGCTTTTCAGCTACACAAATTAAAAGAAAAAAAGAGAATACTTACAAATCAGATATATTAAAAACTAGATGTCCATTAACCAGAAGTGAGTAACTAAGCCACAATTCAGCAAAAACAAGGGATGCTATCCATACATTAGCAGTCATCAAGAATTATAAGTTTCTGACAAGTGGGAAAATACTCATGTGATTATATATAGGTGAACTATATTATAAAAATAAATGTATGAAGTGCATAGCATAAACAGGCTACACCAAATTCATACCAAGCCATTGTCTTTAGATGAATGGCATAGCATATGATCTTTTTGTCTATTTTTCTGAATTAAAAGATACTACAGTCAAAACTATTTCTCATCTCACAACAAAGAAAATAAAAAGAAGTAAGCTGGTTAAGGGTAAGGATTCAATTTAATATTGTTTCTTGCCAGTAGGGTTGCCAAAGTCATTCAATAATATACAATAAACCGCAATGTCTGTTCTTGTACCAGTATCATGCTGTTTTGATTACTGTAGCCTCATAGTATAGTTTGATGTCTCCAGCTTTGTTCTTTTTGCTTAGGATTGCCTTGGTTATATGGGCTCTTTTATGGATCCATATGAATTTTAAAACAGATTTTTCAAATTCTGTGAAGAATGCCAACAATAGTTTAATAGGAATAGCACTGAATCTATAAATTACTTTGGGCAATATGGCCGTTTTAATGATATTGATTCTTCCTATCCATGAGCATGGAATGTTTTTTCCATTTGAATATGTCATCTCTGATTTCTTAGAGCAGTGGTTTGTAGTTCTCCTTGTAGAGATCTTTCACCTCCTGAGTTAGCTGTATTCATAGGTATTTTGTTCATTTTGTGGTAATTGTGAATGAGTGGTAATTTGTGACTTGGCTCTTGGCTTGTCTGTTGTTAGTGTATAGGAATGCTAGCAATTTTTGTACATTGATTTTGTATCCTGAGACTGCTATAGTTGCTTATCAGCTTAAGGAGCTTTTGGGCTTTGACAATGGAATTTCCTAGATATAGAATAATGTCATCTGCAAACAGGGATAGTTTGACCTCCTCTCTTTTTATTTGAATGAGCTTTATTTTTTTATCTTGCCTGATTACCCTGGCCAGCACTTCCAATACTATGTTGAATAGGAGTGATTAGAGAAGAATCCTTATTTTGTGTCGGTTTTGAAAAGGACTGCTTGTAGCTTTGGCCCATTCAGTACGATGTTGGCTGTGGGTTTGTCATATATGGCTCTTATTATTTTGAGGTTTGCTCCTTCAATACCTAGTTTATTGATAGTTTTTAACATGAAGAGATATTCAATGTTATTGAAAGCTTTTTTCTGCATTTATTGAGATAATCATGTGGTTTTTGTTTCTAGTTCTGCCTATGTGATTAACTGCATTTATTGATTTGCATATGTTGAATCAACCTTGCATCCCTGGGATGAAGCCTACTTGATTGTGGTGGATAAGCTTTCTAATGTGCTGCTGGATTCTGTTTGCCAGTACTTTATTGAGGATTTTTGCATCATTGTTCATCATAGATACTGGCCTGAATTTTTGTTGCTGTTGTATCTCTGCCAAATTTTGGTATTGGGATGATGCTGGCCTCATAGAATTAGTTAGGGAGGAGTCTCTCCTCCTAATTATTTGGCAATAGTTTCAATAGAAATAGTACCAGCCCTTCTTTGTACCTCTGGTAGAATTAAGCTGTGAATCCATTTGGTCCTTGGCTTTTTTTGGTTGGTAAGCTATTTATTACTGCCTCAGTTTCAGAACTCATGATTGGCCTGTTCAGGGATTCAATTTCTTTCTGGTTCAGCCTTCAGAAGGTGTATGTTTCCAGGAATTTATCCTTTTTTTTCTTTTTCCTTTTCTTTTTTTTTTTCTGTTTTTGTTTTGTTTTGTTTTTTGATGAAGTCTTGCACTGTCACCTGAGCTAGAGTGCAATTGCGCGATCTCTGCTCACTGCAACCTCGTTCACGCAATTCTCCTGCTTCAGCCTCCCGAGCAGCTGGGATTACAGGCACCTGCCACCACACCCAGCTAATTTCCATTTCTTCTAGATTCTTTAGTTTATGTGCATAGAGGTGTTTATAATGTTCTCTGATGTTTGTATTTCTGTGGGGTCAGTGAGAATATTCCCCCTTATCATTTCTGACGGTGTTTATTTGAATCTTATCACTTTTCTTCTTTATTAGTCTAGTTAGCACTCTATTTTTTATTAATTTTTTTCAAAAAATCAGCTCCTGGATTCGTTAATATTTTGAAGGGTTTTTCATGTCTCCAACACCTTCAGTTCAGCTGTGGTCTTGGTTACTTTGTGTCTTTTGCTAGCTTTGGGGTTTGTTTGCTTTTGTTCTCTAGTATATTTAGTTTTGACACTAGGCTGTTAACTTGAGATCTTTCTAATGTTTTTTTCTTTTTTTTTGAGACGGAGTCTCTCTCTGTTGTCCAGGCTGGAGTGCAGTGACGTGATCTCAGCTCACTGCAACCTCCACCTCCCGGGTTCAAGCGATTCTCCTGCCTCAGCCTCCCGAATAGCTGGGACTACAGGCACCCGCCACCACGTCTGGCTAATTTTTTGTATTTTTAGTAGAGACGGGGTTTCACTGTGTTTGCCAGGATGGTCTCGATCTCCTGACCTTGTGATCTGCCCTCCTCGGCCTCCCAAAGTGCTGGGATTACAGGTGTGAGCCACCACACCTGGCCAGATATTTCTAACTTTTAATGTGGGCATTTAGTGCTATAAATTTCCCTTTTAATTCTGCCTTAGCTGTGTCCCAGAGATTCTGGTGTGTCATATCTTTGTTCTCATTAGTTTCAAAGAACTTCTTGATTCCTGCTTTTATCTCATTATATACCCACAAGTCATTCAGGAGCAGGTTATTCAATTTCCATGGAATTGCATAGTTTTGAGTGAATTTCTTACTCTTGATTTTGAATTTGCACGGCAGTACAAGAGACGTTTTTAATTTCATTTCTTTTGCTTTTGCTGAGGAGTGTTTTACTTCCAATTATGTGATCAATTTTAGAGTAAGTGCCATGGGCTGATGAGAAGAATGTCTATTCTGTTGTTTCTGGGTGGAGAATTTTGTAGATATCTATCAGGTCCATTTGATCCAGTACTCAGTTTAGGCCATGAATATCTTTGTTATTTTATGTCTTGAAAATTAATTAATATTTTCAATAGGCTGTTAAAGTCTACCACTATTATTGTGTGGGAGTCTAAGTCTCTTTGAAGGTCTCTAAGAACTTGCCTTATGAATCTGGGTGCTCCTGTGTTATGTGCATATATATTTAGGACAGTAAGCTCTTCTTGTTGAATTGAATCCTTTACCGTTACGTGATGCCCTTCTTTGTCTTTTTTTTTATCTTTGTTGGTTTAAAGTCTGTTTTGTCAGAAACTAGAATTGCAACTCCTGCATTTTTCTGTTTTCTATTTGCTTGGTAGACTTTCCTTCATCTATTTATTTTGACTTATGTGTGTCATTGCATATGAGAAGGGTCTCTTGAAGACAGGATACCAATAGGTCCTGGTTCTTTATCCAGCTTGCCACTCTATGTATTTTAATTGGTGTATTTAGACCATTTACATATAAGATTAGAATTGAAATGTGTGGATTTGATCCTGTCATCATGATGTTAGCTGGTTATTCTGCAGACTTATGTGATTGCTTTATAGTATCACTGGTCTGTGTACTTCAGTGTGTTTTTGTCGTGGATGGTGATAGTCTTTCCTGTCCATATTTAGTACTTCTCTCAATAACTCTTGTTAAGACAGGTCTGGTGGTAACAAATTCCCTCAGCATTTGCTTGTCTTGAAAGAATCTTATTTCTCCTTCACGTATAAAGCTTAATGTGGTCGGATATGAAATTCTGGATTGGAATTTCTTTTTTCTAAGAATGTTGAACATTGGCCTCCAATCTCTTCTGGCTTGCAGGGTTTCAGCTGAGAGGTCCACTGTTAGGCTGATGGGCTTCCCTTTGTAGGTAACCTGGCCTTTCCCTCTAGCTGCCTTTAACATTTTTTCTCTCATTTTGTCCTTGGAGAATCTGATGAGTATGTGTCTTGGGGATGATCTTCTCAAGTAGTATCTTACTGAGGTTCTCTGCATTTCCTGAATTTGAATGTTGGCCTATCTAGCTATGTTGGGAAAGTTCTCATGGATTATATCCTGGAATATGTTTTCCAAGCTGGTTCCATTCTTCCTATCTCTTTCAAGTACACCAATCAGTCATAGATTCAGTCTCTTCACATAATCACATATTTCTTGGTGGTTTTGTTCATTCCTTTTTCTCTATTCTTGTCTGCCTGTATTATTTCAGAAAGACAGTCTTCAACTCTAAGATTCTTTCCTTCACTTGGTCTATACTGCTATCAATACTTGTGACAGCATTTGTAGTATTTTTCAGCTCTATTCTTCTCTAAACTGGCTCATTTTACTGTCAGTTCCTGCAATGTTTTAACATGATTTTTAGCTTCCTAGAATTGGGTTACAACACGCTCCTTTACCTCAGTAAACTTTGTCCCTATCCATATTATGAATTCTACTTCTGTCATTTCAGGCATCTCAGCCTCAACCCGGTTCCGAAACCTTGCTGGAGAAGTGATGCAGTCATTTGGAGGAAAGAGGGCACTGTGGCATTTTGAGTTTTCAATGTTCTTGTACTGATCCTTTCTCATCTTTGTGGGCTTATCTGCCTTCAATCTTTGAGGTTGGTGACCTTTGAGTGGAGCTTGTCCTTTTTTTTCTTTTCTTTTTTTTTTTTTTAAACAGTCTAGCCACTTTTCTGCAGGGCTGCTGTGTTGTGCTGGGGGGTCGACTCCAATCGCTAGTTGCCTCAGATTTTACAGTACCTGGAGGAATCATCGGTGATGGCTGTGAAACAGTAAAGAATGCAGCCTGCTTCTTACTGTAGGACCTCCGTCCAAGGGAGTTATAGACATGTTGCCAGCCTGAACAGACCTGTAGGAGGTGGCTGGAGACCCCACTAGGAGGTCTTACCCAGACAGGAGGAAAAGGATCAGGGACCCAGTTTAAAAAGTAGCCTGGCCACGTTTTTGTAGAGCAACTGTGCTGTGGTGAGGGTCCACTTCAGCCCTCGGTTGTCTTGGACACTCCGAAGTCTGAAACCTGGGATGGCTAAGTCACCCAAACAGCAAAGATGGTGGTTTGCCCCTCCTCCTGGCAGCTCCATCCCAGGGTGTCCTAAAACCTCTGTTAGCCAGAGAACACCAGTGGGGGTAGCCAGAAACCCTAGTTGGGAGGCTCCACCCATTGATGAGGAACGTAGTTGGGGATCTGCTTTATAAGGAAGTCTGGCCACGTTTTTGTGAGGCCACTGTGCTGTGCTGGGGTACCGCTTCCACCCCCAGTCATCTTGGGCTCTCCAAAGCCTAAAGGTGGGAATGGCTAAGCCACCCAAACAGCAAAGATGGCAGCCCACCCCTCCACCCCCACCTCCCTGCCCCCCACCACCACCCAAGAGCTCTTTCCCAGATAGGCACAACACTGCTACCAGTGGCTGGCTGGAAATCCAAGCCAGTGGGTCTTATCCTGTGAAGTGCTGTGGAAGTGGGGCCTGCAGACCATCACTGCTCAGGCCCTTGAATTCAGCCTCTTTTTTATGGGTATGTATGGGGGTCTAACCTCCTGCTGTGCTGGAGTTGCAGTTACTTTTGCCATGAAGCCTGGAAAGCTGGTGTATCTAAAGCTCCTGTGTCTCTGTGCATGCCTGAGTGGCTGTTCTGCTAAGACTCCATGCACCTGTGTATCAGACTGAAGGCCCTGGTGGAGTGGGTTCACAAGGGTATCTGCTGACCTAAGCGTTGCAAAGATCCATGGAAAAAGCATGGTTTCCTGGGGTTGCACATTCGCTCATCATTTTCCTGGGTGGGGGAGGTTCCCTTGACTCTGTGTCATTCCCAGGTGGGCCATCGTCCTGCCTTGCTTTTCTCCATTCTCCTTGGGTTGGGTTGTTTCCTTGATTAGTCCCAATGTGAGTATCTGCTCGTTTCAGTTGAAGGTGCTGTATTTACTTGCCCCTTCAATTTCTCTTTGTGAGAGCCACACACCATAGTTGCTTCTAGTCAGTCATCTTGGTCACTCCTCCATTCCATTCTTTTGAAACCAAAGCTTAATGGCATTTAAATTTTATTTATAATCCCTATCTGAAAAAATGTAATTGTGATCTCATCTAGCCTCTGTCCCTGGAAGCCAGCACCTGGTATTCTTATGAATATTCTTTCTCAATCAGTTAGAACATTTAATGATTCCTGTGTTCTGAATTAATTGGTATCACTATACTGAAGAGTATAAACAAGTTTTTTAATTAAGGAGTTGAGCCATAGGACCAAGTCTTGGTTCGGCTACCGTACAAGTTGTGTGTGACTTTGGTGGCCAATGTTCTTTGAGCTCAGTTTCACTGTTTTAAGAATGGAGATGGTAGACATGATGCTACTAATGGGCTACCTCACACTGGTGTGGTGAGAAATGAGGCAATCTGTGTAAACAGTTTACTAGATGTGATGGTCTGTGAAGATGTGATGTCATATATGTTATATGAAATGAAGACAAGAAGTTATAAAACACCACCTATGTTTAACATAATACCTCAAGAAAACATCATTTGTAGAATTTGGGTTTTCTTAAATTATATGTAATTATATACCTCTTTTGTTAGGTTGTGTACCAAGCTGTACATCAGCGGTGTACAATCAACTCTCAGAGTGTAGTTTCCTGAAAAATAAGAAAAGAATAGATTTTAAAATTTAATTTCTTTCTGTTATTATTTTCTTCAAAGACCACTGCTAAATTCCTACCAGAATGATTGTTTTAAAACCTGATTTCAACTGTAACTCTCCAATGGCTTCCCAACTAACTCTGTAAAGTCCATCATTCTCACCATGGCCCACACTGCCATATATGAAACCCTAGGTCACCTCTCAAAATCTGCATTTTACATTCTGCCCAAGAATACTCCCTCAGCATCTTTGCACACACTGTCCTTCCAGCCTGGAACAGTATTCTGCATTATATCTGCATGACTTACTCCTCCTCCTCTGGTCTAATGTCATGTTTTTCTGAGAGATTTCCCCTGATCACCCTACCTAAAATAGCACTCTCTTACCCCCTAATTTTAGCCACTCTCTCTTTTAACCTTGGCTCTTGTTTCTCTATATTACTCATCTATTTAACATAAAACATATTAAGTACTTGTCTTTTTATTATTGGCCCTCCCACTAGACGATAAGTCCCCTGGGATAAGGTGCACTCTCTTGTTTGCTGCCATACCCCAAGTGTTTAGAACAATCCTAGAATCTGGCATTTAACCAATCAATATTTGTTGTAACAATGAATTTGTGAACCAGGTGCTCTTCTTAGAGTTTCAGTCCCCATTCCTCAGGAGGGGGCTGGTGGTTGTGACAATCAAGTGAAGCACCCAGGAGAGGTGTTCTTGGGAAGCCAACACAGCACAGGGAGGGGCTGCTGACTCAGGAGGAGTTTTGGGGGAGGGAAGTCAAGACAAATTCACAAACTTGGAGAGGGGACTCTTGAACTGGGTTTTCTAGAACCAGGACACAGTTGGGGGGAAAAATGGTATTTGCAGCTAAAGGCATAGCCTGTGCGAATGCCCAGAAATGTAAAAGCACATGAAACACTCAGAGGATGGCAACTAGCTTTTATCCCAAAGCCTCGGATCCATGTTTGAGAACAGCAAAAGTTGAGGCTTTTAAAATAGTGACACCACAACAGAATTGTTTATGGAACTTAAAGATTTGATTTTAGATTCTAAAATTTATCTGGAAGAATAAATATGTACAAACAGCCAATGTAATTTTTAAAACAGAAGTGCTTATAAGAGTGGAAATTGGGGAGTGGAGTAGTTTGGCAGCATTTATTACAATTTAATTGCCCACATCTGAAGACCAAATAAATATACTTGTAGCTCTCTACCCTCTCCTCACATTATACCAAAAAAGCATGCAAATAAAATAATATTAACCACAACAAACTGAAGCAAGCTGTCCAGCAGCTAGAAAACTGATACAAAATTTGTCCTATTGAATACATTGTAGATTTTTGTTGTCTGGTGGTAGTGTTTGTTTTTTAAGTGAAACCGAGATATGTGCTGATATGGAAAGTTTTTCATAATGTGTTGCTGAATGAAAAAGGCAAGTTGTAGAAGCATTTAGCTGTAATATGATACCAAATACCTGTATAAGGTGGTGAGAGACAATAGAGTGTAGTGGTTAGAGGGGTAAAGTTGGAACAGACCAGTCTGATTTGAGTCTAAGCTCAACCCTTCACTAGCTGTGTGGCCTTGGGAAAATTACTTAACCTCTCTGAGTGTCAGTTTCTTCTTTTATACAAAAGGGATAATAAAAATATTTACTTACTTATCTCAGAGAGTTATTGTGAGTACTGAATAATTTTTTTACGTGTAAAGCACCTGAGATAGCACCCACTACGCTCTTGGTGCTTTGTGAAGCTAAATTCTATATATTAATGCCAACATGATGGAAACACCCAAAACTGAGGACAGTAATACCTTTGGAGAGAGGACTAAGTTTGAGAGTAGTTTGCATTGGGGAGTTTCGCTTTATTTGTACATTTTACATTTTAACATTAGAAATTTCAGAATCTATGATTATTTGTATTATTTGAGAAAGAAACATTAATACAATGTAAAAATATAAAACAAGTGAGATGAATGGTGTCCCAATCATATAGTACCTCCTGTCCTTTGTTCTCGATTTTGAAAATTATAGAGACACAATGGAGCAATTTCAAGCCAGGGATGACATAAGTAGCAAAGCTTAATGAGTTTTTAAAATACATTAAAATATCAAATCTTAAAAAACTATGGCCAAGTATGGTGCCACACACCTGTTTTCCCAGCTACTTGGGAGGCTGACGGGGGAGGATCAGTTGAGCTCAGGAGTTTGAAACTATCCTGGACAATACTACAAGATCTCATTTCAAAACAACAATAACAACAACAACAACAACAAAAAAAAACAGAAAAAAACTATCAATAAAGAGAACGTTATTCTATGTTTCAAGAAAATATATTTGGAGTATTTATTCTGGGTGGGCATATAATATACATATATATACATGTATATATTTCACCTTATGTGTTTTAAGTAGGTGTAATGATACTAATCAAAGTTAACTTTTTTTGACATTTACTCTGTGCAAGGCACAGGTCTGGGAGATTTGCAAATGTAACTTTTTTTGCCCTTACAGGAGCCTTTGAGATAGGAGCTCTTAGAAGTTATATTTAGAAGTGAGAAAACTGAGGCACAGAAAGTAAGTAGCTTGGGTCACACAAATAGGAAGTTGCAGGGCCAGGAATGAATCCAGGCATCTGACGCCAAAGGTCAAGCTCTTAGCCACTACCCTAAGAGAAGGAGAAAAGAATAACCAAATGCACTGTGTAAACTAACTTTCAGAACAGTGTAGCTCAGAGGCATTGACAAAGAAGAAAAGGAAGGTTGGGAGCTGTGGCTCAGACCCGTAATCCTAGCATTTTGGGAGAACAATGTGGATAGACAGCTTGAGCCCAGGAGTTTGAGACCAACCTGGGTAATATGGTCAAATGTCATCTCCACTAAAAATACAAAAATTAGCTGGATGTCTAGCGTTTGCCTGTAGTCCCAGCTACCAAGGAGGCTGAGGTTGGAGGATCACTTGAGCCTGGGAAATCAAGACTAGTGAGCCATGATCGCTCCACGCACTCCAACCTGGGCTGCGGAGTGAGACCCTGACTCAAAACAAACAAGCAGACAAACAAAAAAACAGAAGAAGAACAGAAACAGAAAAAAAAAACAAACAAACAAAAAACAGAAAAAGAACAGAAACAAAAAAACACACACAAAAAAACCAGAAAAAGAAAATGCCAACGTGACTCCATCAAGGTCTCATGTTCCAAGTGTTGACATGGCAAATTTACTAATACACTAAAGAAAATATTCTAAAAAATTCCCCCTTCATTCATTTAGTCCTTTTTTTTTTTTTTTGCAACCATACCACAAATATTTATTTAATAAGACGTTAGGAATCTAGGAGTGAATAAGCAAGATACTGTCTGTTCCTTGTTAAAGAATACAGTCTATTACTTGTAAAACAAATAATTACTTAATAATGACAGTGATGAGTGCCATGAAGACATGTCTTCCCTGAAAAAGTAACATTTCAAAGGAGGGTCTAAGGATAAGGATTAAACACATAAAGAGGTGTTGAAGAGCAATCTGAGTGTAGAGAACAGGAGAGCAATGGCTGGGATGTTGCATATGGTCAAGATATAGATATATTAGTGGAGCTGGATTGTAGTGAAAATGGACTCTTTCATTTTCATGAAAATCAATCTGAGATTTCCTTTAGTTTGGTCCTTTGCTTATTAAATATATTTCCATTCTTCAAAGTCAGCCTCAAATGCCTATTCCCTTTCTCAAGCCTTTCCTGAAGTTTCTATTATTCTTTCCTCTGAACTCCCAGAGTGGTTTTATCCTACCCTTTCTAAAGTACCTGCATACATTATAATTCAAGATTGATTTAGTATATTATCTATACTGAGTGCGCCACCACGCCCGGCTAATTTTTGCATTTGTAATAGCTATGGGGTTTCACCATGTTGGCCAGGCTGGTTTCGAAATCCTGACCTGAAGTGATCCACCCGCTTCAGCCTCCCAAAGTGCTGCGATTACAGGCGTGAGCCACCGCACCCCACAAATGATACTTTTTTTCTACACCATTCTAAATTATAGAACTCTTTAGGTCCCTGAGTTAATCATTCAACAGATACTTACTAAATTCCTGCTGTATATAAAAAGAAATCTGCCAGATGAAGCTAATCAAAGAATGCTGCTTTTCTGAATTAGTACTCTATACTTCAAAGCAAAAAAAAAGTAAGAAAAGAAAGAAAAGAAAAGAGAAAAGAAAACAAAAGGAAAGGAAAGAAGAAAAGAAACACCTGTTCACCTAGGGCTCACCCAACTCTCAACTAGGGTTCATACACTGCTTCCTGTCAGAGGTTGCAGTAGATTCCCTAACCACACATTAATGCATAGCCTTCCTTGTTAGTGCATAATTTATTAACTAGACTGCTGCTCCTAGTTTAATCACATCTTTTCTTATGAGACCAACGATATTCACCTTCTATAGATGAGTCAGCATTAATATAAGCCACGCCACGCTCTTGAAGGAGTCTTGAATTCTCCTATAATAAAAAGGAAAACTATAAATATAAAGTTATAACCCACTCCCCCTCCCCCACAAAATGCACATCTACATTTAATGTATGTAGATTTCTAATTGAGCTGACCCATATTAACGACAAATTTGACATAAGAAATTCTCATAAAAGAGCTGCTTTGAAAGAATTTCAATAAAGATTACTCGTAGGAAACAACAAGCAAAACTTGTTAAAAGCTAATATTTAAGATGAAATTGTCCATATACTTATGGTAAGTGGAAAATGAGTTAATTTCTTAACCATACTGTAGTTTATCTTTCAAAAAGTTGTCTTAGCAAACATGAATGACCTAAGAGACTTTTCAGTGAAAATCTTCCTATAAACATCTCATTATTTAAGCAGAGAATCTTGTCTGATTCATATGGAATGAAGGTATTTTAAGTGTATGAAATTTTAAGTTAAATTTCATGTTACGAAAAATAAGTGAACTTAAATCATCTCCTGACCAGAAGTCAGGCTCTCCTGTAGGATGGTACCATCTCCTGGTCAATATTGATAATTGCACACTTTTAGAACAAAGCGTAGCAAAGTTTTTTTGAGATATCAATGTGAATTCTGAGTCTCTAAAATACATAATTTCCTAAGCATTCTGACTATAAGATAAAAAATGAAAAAAATACAACTGTAAGTGAAAAAAATAATTTGAAAGACACAAATTACACCGTCAAAATATTAGGTTCTTCCAGATAGTGGCAAAATTCTTTCTTATAAAACTTTGACTAAGTCTACAGGAGCACCATTTTTTTTTTCAAAGAAAATTAAAGTCCACAGGGTTTCACATAATATCTGGAGTATGAAAGGAGCCAGTAAATATTTACAGCATGACTGGAAATTAATGGAATAAACATTGACTTTGCATATATTTACTTTATAGCTAACGTTTCTGTTATATAAAGCCAACAATACATGCAGGTAAAATTACTTTTCAAATGGCTTAGTAAATATTCTGTGGTGGAAATTTCTGCCTTACTTTTAGCATAATTTAACATAGAGCAGGTCATTATGAATTAAGAAAGATAAATGAAAAGTATACCTTACGGCCAGGCATGGTGACGCACGCCTGTATTCCTAGCACTTTGGGAGGCCGAGGCAGGCATATCACTTAAGCTCAGGAGTTTGAGGCCAGCCTGGCCAACACAGCAAAACCCTGTCTCTATTAAACATAAAAAAATTAGCCAGGTGTGGTGGCACATGCCTGTAATCCCAGCTACTCAGGAGCCTAGGGCAGGAGAATTGCTTGAACCCGGGATGCTGACGCTTCAGTGAGCAGAAATCACATCACTGTACTCCAGCCTGGGCAACAGAGCGAGACTCTGTATAGTTAGCTTTAGGAGATATTTTGGAAAGCGTAATAGAATCATGATAGAAATCAAACATGATACAGGAAAATTTGGCTTCATGGTCAGGAAATAGAGACAATTTAACTTCATATTTTTCATAAATTTGAAATAGCTTAATTCCCTTTGAATCAGACAAGATTCTCCATTTAAATGACATGTTTATGGCAAGATATTCACTGAAAAGTCTGTTAAGTCGTTCATGTTTGCTAAGACAATATTTTGAAGAATAAACTACAATATGATTAAGAAACTAACTCCTTGTTTTGATGTTTGGTTTCTAGCATATCTACTTATTTACTCTCATACTCCCAGGAAATAAAGATAAATTAATTTTGACAATTGACATTAAGTGGCTCTAAAAGGTTCAAACAAAACTTAGTTCTTTAGCAACAGAGATTTTTATTGCTGATTTTTGAACAAGAATATGTTACTTCAGATTTTGGGGAAAAAACTTTGAATACTTTCTCATTATATTCACTTCTTATTTTTATGTGCTTGGCAAATAAGTCCTGGCTACTTTATTTTATAAAAATTTATATTATAGCAAATTACCAACTAACCTCTGCCCACTCAGTAGAACCAAGAAGACCAAATTCTTCTGCATCCCAGCTTGCAAACAAAATTGTTCTTCTAGGTCTCCACCCTAAAATGTATGTGTATATATAAATGATAGAAAAAAAATTCATAATATACCCAGGACACTACCAAGCCCAGATTGGAAAAAAAAAAAAAAAAGTCATTGATGGTTTGGGAAGGGCAAATTGTAGTAAAAAATCTTTACTTACGTAACTTTTTTTGTAAGATTTTAAAGTTGTCAATACAAAATAGCACAATTACATAGAAAAGGGGGGACATGTGACAGTAAAAATCTTGCAAGATCATAAAACATTCTAATAGGTTTATAATGATTCGCTATGCATAGGAAGTCATTGGTGGTCTGCAACTGCCTAGAACAAAGAAAGAAATTTCTAGATGCATTTGGTATTCTGAAAGCAGATATAACTGAAAGAAAATCCTTTAGAACTCTTTCCTGTTGTTCTGACATCAAATGAACAATTGTTCAATATCAGCTGGTCCGTATGATTTCACACCATTCTCTGCCAGAATTAATCAACAAGGGCTCAGTTAGCAACAGCAATGTTTGCTGTTGCTGAAAACCACATAATTCAGCAGAGGGGTGATGTGTCTCGGAGGTTATAAACACTGACCTTGGAGTTAAGGCAAGATCTTGTTTCAAACCCTGGTTCTCTCACTAGCAGCGTGACTGAGGGAAAGTTATTCAAACCTACTAAACTTCCATTTCTTCATCTGTATACAAGGAACAAGAGAGTAAAGATGAAGACACCACTTGATTGTGGGAGGATTAAATGGAATAATGTTTAGAAAGCACTGAGTAGGTGCTTTCAAAATTGCGAGTAGTCATCATCTTAGTAAATATTCATGTGTGCTTAAGAATGTGTATACTATAGCTGTTAACTCGAGTCTTTTGTTTTTGTCAATAGTATTATTCAAATTTCCTATTATTATTCATCAGCATTCCATTTCTTTGGCATATTCTGTAATTGTCACAGTGATGTTTTGTATAGTTACCACAGGAATTTCCTAGAAAAATCATGAAACATTTTTGTAATAAAATTAAACACTACCTACTTCATGAATTATGTAAATTTAGGTCTCCATTGTTTGTTTTCTTCAAATATAAGATAGCTGTGTAGAAAAAAGAACTGAGCGCCTTTACATTTTATTTTAAATAGAGACATCATGGTTTTGAGGACTGGTAGTGAGAAATTTGAGTTTCAGCCCTGATTCTCTTATGCTGCCACATGCTAGCTACATAATCCTGGGGAAATTACTTGATTCTCTAAACCTTGGTTAACCTATCTGTAACATGAGAAGATAAGTAAATATGTCTTCTCCCTAGTTGCTATGACTTCAAAGAAGATAGGACATATAAAAAGTTTCTCAAAAAAAAAGTAAATACTATGCAAACAACATACATTATTGTTTTTATGGTTGATAAAAATATATAGATTACATTTTACAGCCCCAGACACCTTGTTTGCAGGGTCAATAAAGAGAATGAACTTCCTGCTCTCAATGTGTAATTATTATTTTAAAAAGCAAACATTTGAACTAAATTTTACTTTGGCTTTCATATGAAGATTCTAAAATGACTAAAGTGGTGATGTTACGAGTGTAAACCTAATTTTTGTGAGAGCACACCAGGGCTCAGGATGTGAGAACACAGATTCCAAACTTTTGACAGAATCCCATTAGACCTAAGACCTGTATTTCTCTGAATAGAGCATCTATCTCCTTAATTACTTTGTACACGTAATCTGAGGTCTGGGGTTAGAAGAGACGGAGGAACGTCTGCTTACAGTCTCTGACTAGGAAGCTTTGGCTTATAATCTAATTTCAGTGTGTTTTCTCTAGTGATGTAACCCATCTTCATCTTCTTAGTTGCCAAGAACAACCATTAACAGTATAATTCCTTTATTTCAGATTATCACTTAATACATAAATATCAATAATATATGTGTTATATAAATAAATGCAAAAATAAATAAACAATATAATTAACCAACCAACACTGAAAATTGTATTAGTATTTTTACCAAACACATGTAATGGTTGAGGTAGTATTTTTATACTCCCTTTACAGAAGACTAAACTGAGACTCAGATAGGCTGTTTTTTTTCTTGCTGTTTGTTTGTATTACCTTCCTTTTTCAGTGTTCCAAAGCTCCTCACAATTTCATGAACAACAGCTGCTCCACTCTGAGGGTCAATACCACCAAACACCCATGAGTCCCGGTGACCTCCCAGAATGACATATCTGTCTAGAAAGCATAGATACAAGATTATTTGTCATTTCAGGTCAATAAAAGAGAAAATTGCAAATGACTCAATAGCATCTAAATACAAAGCACTCACGCCTCAGAAAAAAAAAAAAGGCTAGGTTCCCCAAGATTTGTGAAAATATGTTATTTCTGATTTTAATATGTGTTTCTTCTATCTGAGAAAGCATAAATGTGATAAAGCAAATATATATTTCAATGTATTACTATAATTATAAGTACTACATTAAGTAATTAAGAAAGTTTAAGGTTATCCTTGTTCACATTTTTTGTAACTCTATTACTTCTCTTACCTAACTTACCACTTTCTAATATATTCAAAGTAAGAGAACATAGTGGCCACATAGGAAGTTCTCCAATTCCTATTCTTTCTATTCAGTTTTTAAGGTACAGCTCAAATATTTTCTCCCTCCATTCAGTTTTTAAGGTACAGCTCAAATATTTTCTCCCTCTATGCAGTTTTTAAAGTACAGCTCAAGTATTTTCTATAGAAGAGGGAATTTCTTTGCCTACCCAGCTCTCAGGAGTGATAAAGCATTGATCACCCTTAAGCATATGGCTCCCTTCACAAACTGTCAGTTGTTTGTCTTGGGTCTGTGTCTTCTTTTATCTCCCCATTTCCAATGCTTATCATGGAACTGGCACAAAATAGGTACTCGGTATTATTCAACAGTAGCCACTTATATATTGTTTAGTACTCTTTAGAATATGCAAACAACAAGGATATCAATATTCTTGATCTAAAATAAATCACTGGCTGCTTGTAAGAAACATGCAATTAATATGTTTAATATGCATTTAATAGTATCTGTTTTGGTAAGAAATACAGAACAAAATAGTTCATAAGAAACTGAGCCTTCATGAACTAAGACTATGTATAAAATGTATTAATCAGTAGATCATCTGAACTTCTATGGAAATCATATGTCCATATATTTTATCAGTGGCTTTAGTGGTAGAAAATAAAACTATGAAAGGATTCATTAATACAAGATTATCTTAATTTTCTAAGAGTGTGATATTTTATATAGATGTTTATAGTTATCATGAAGATATTTATGCAAAAATATGGTAAAAAAAAATTCAGAAAACTCGGAAGAAAACACATCTTTCCCTACCCTGCTTCCCTTGATCCTTTAATTGAGGCCTGCACAATTTATCATTCACCTTGGTCATCTGCCCAGCCTAGCACCAAACATTCACTTTTATTCACCACCTGTACCACAATACAAAATTATTTCATACTTATTTCCTTTGTTTTTAGGTGAGTTCCACCGATTTTCTTCGTTTGTTTGTTTGTTTGTTTGTTTTGATTCACTTTGCACTCCCAGAGCTTGGTAGTATCCAGCACATAACAGTTACTTGATCAATATTTGCTAAGCAAACGATTCCTTTACCTGGTTCCACTGCTCCTCTGAGAGTACCTATCACATTGTAAATTCTTGTCACTTCATTGGTAGAGTGGATGTGCATCTTGACTTTTCTAATGCAAAAATAAAAGACATTCTTAAAAAAAAAAACTGGTTAACAGATTAACACTATAAGGTTTAAGGGAATTTTCCCCTCTGCCTTTGAAGGTTCAAGTCTGGTAAAATAAACTGAAAACTGATTAACAGGAGAAAAGGCATACAAACTTACTAACACACCAGTGTATACAGGAGCCAAACAAAATATGAGACTCAAACAAAGGCCAAATGGCTAAAGTTTAACTAGCACCCTCTTCATAGAGGAGGGGGAAGTGGGGGAGTGCAGGTGGTTTTGAGGGGTGGTAAATGGTTTTCAAGAGAGTTAAATGGGCCCAAAGAGCAGGCAATAGTTTATAAATAATTCTCTTTGGAACTTGAATGGAACTAGAGAACAGTCAACAGCTTGTGACAAAGCCTGTGCAGATAAAGTGATATGCCTCAGTCTTCCTTCCCACTACATGAGTTCAATCTTCCCTGGTTAATAAAATTTCAGGGAGGGGAAGGAAAGTCATTGTCTTCCTTCTGCAGGAGCTTCAGATAAGGGAACTTCAGAGAGAAACTTACACTCTGCTCTTGTGGGGTGAAGTAAGAGGTCAGAATTATTGATTCTGAAGCTGCATCTAAGGACTTTTATCCTTTAGTTCAAAGTGCTCAGCATGTCAAAACACCATACTTTGGGTTATTCATTTTCTGAGTTCCAGCAACACTCATAATTTTTAAATCTTCAATCTTGCTTAAAGATTTCTAATTGTTCACAGGCAAAAATTACACTGGTTCTAACTTGCAGTTTTGTTTCCTGCTGGTATTACATAAATTTTACTTTTTCTGTCATCCTCTATAGTATTTTTTTCTTTAAGTCTCCCCCTTAAAAGAGTTAAAATTAAAATAGTCTCTTAACTGTGTAGAAAAGTTTCCAGTAAAGCCAGGTCCAACATTGTAGGGCACTTTGAGACTTCCTCTCCAGCTGCTATCTGGTGGTGCTGAGCCACCCATTTTTCTATTGGACACAAAAAAACATTATTAGCCACAAAAAAACCTTGAAGTAACGCATTAAAATGTTAATGGATTCACTTTATTGAGCATCTGCTCATAATATCTTTAATGAGTGCAAAGTGCTTTGAATATAATACGTCATTTAAACCTTACCATAATTCTGAGGAATTGCTACCTCCACTTCACAGATGGGGCACAGGAGGCTTAGATAACATGCCCAAAGTCATGCAACTAGTAAATGGTATAATTAAGATTCAAATTATTGATAAGAATTTGATCTGCCTTACCAGTATCTAGTAGTAAATCTAAAAGTGCTTTCCAGAGCATGTGCTGAAGAAAGAGCTTGATGTCTAACTCTCTGAAATTTTCCATTCTTATTTGTCTCACTGGTATATAGTTATTTTTTACAAAGTACTTTCATACACACCTACTAAGAAGACAGGAGGATCAAAAGAAAGGATTTCATTTCAGAAGCCCCTAAAAGCTTCACGCTATTTTTTAAAATTCAGAAATAAAGATTCAGGCAGACCACCCAGTATATGCCATGGTCCCTGGTTATCTTTCAGCAGGTGACTGAGAAAGAAAACATGGTAATGTTTATGAAATGGTGGGGTTCTTGTAGTTTCACTTCAACATATCTGCCTTTACTGTATTAAGATGATGGATTAACTTATTCTTGATATGGGCATGTAAAACAATATACTTTTACTAAACAGCTACAGAGAGACAAATGTGTTTCCAGACAAACTTAAGAGACTGAGTGTTCAAACTGAATAATCTCGACCTTAATTGTAACTATATTTTTATGAAAATCCAGCTGTAAGGCAAAAACAGACTTCTTTGGGCCTACCACGGGCATTTTGTTCCTTAACAATACTCCAAACCTTAAACCCAGCTCCACTTAAATAATGGCCTGGAAAAATAAATGTCATTATCTGATATTATACTGAGATGTTTAGTTATGAAATCAAAAGTGGAGAATTTCAATCTGTCCTGTAAGGCTTTCTCTGCGGTCACGCACCCTCATGCACTCCAGGCTGTGCGGTGCAGCATGCTCTGTCATGTCCTGTTTTCTTCTGTGCCTGTACACGGGTGCTTGTTCCCTGTCTACCTGTTTGAGGAAATATGAATAGCTCAACTTAACCTAGAATCTACTGCACATGCAATAAGGAAACAATCAGTAAGATCACTTTCTCGTGGAAAATTCATTAGAATTAACATCTCGTTTTAAAATGCTCTATCAAAGTGTAAATAATTCCTCTCTCTTTTCCCTTTTTCACTAAGGAGTTTGTATATTAAACAGAATTTCAAGTAATGTATTATAAAATTTATTTAAACTATTTACAATAAAATGCCACGTATAAAGCATCAAGCAACATGAAGAGGCATTTTACATTGGTAGAAAGCACAATACATAGCCAAAACAGCAGAGTATTAAATAAACAGAAAATTTGCAAAAGGCAAGTAAAGAATATACATATACTTAATTATACATAAAATATTGATACAGGAGGTAGAAAGAAATTTAGTAAGCAGATAATGGGGGCAACAGAGTCCTCAGCAGAGCTTCCCTTCTAACAAAAAGCAGCCCAATAAATTATTTTTTTTTTCTAACAAAAAGCAGCCTGAAAAATCGAGCTGCAAACATAGATTAGCAAGCTGAAAGTGCGGGAGAATGCTGGCAGCTGTGCCAATAGTAAAGGGCTACCTGGAGCCGGGCGCGGTGGCTCACGCCTGTAATCCCAGCACTTTGGGAGGGCGAGGCAAGCGGATCACCTGAGGTCGGGAGTTTGAGATCAGCCCGACCAACATGGAGAAACCCCGTCTCTACTAAAAAAAAAAAAAAAAAAAGGCAAAAAATGAGCCGGGCATGGTGGCACATGCCTGTAATCCCAGCTATTTGGGAGGCTGAGGCAGGAGAATCACTTGAACCTGGGAGGTAGAGATTGCGGTGAAGCGAGATCACGTCATTGCACTCCAGCCTGGGCAAAAAGAGCAAAACTCAGTCTCAAAAAAAAAAAAACAAAAGAAAAAAAAGGCTACCTGGGGGCCAGGCATGTACACATAGAGGGTCTATCTTCCGTGGTTTTGTTATCACATGCACAGTAACAGAGAAATGAGCACTATGACGCAGCTCAGGCAGAGAACTCACCTGAAGAATAAAAGATTAGGGTGGGGCCACCAGAAATTCACACCCTATGCAAATGACACACCTGGTCTAACCAGTTTGTCCATGACTTATATAAATCAGACACTACCTCTTCACCAGCTCATCTATAAAACCCTCTGCATTTTGCAGTGGACCAGCAACACACTTTTTCCGGGACCTCTCTCTGCAGCAGAGAACTATGCTAATACACTATAAACTAATAACATCAGTTGCTTTGGGGGTGTAAATGGATGAGAGGAAAACTTTACTATAAATCCTTTTGAATTGTGAACTTTGTAAATGTATTTCCTTTTCAGAATAAAAATTAATAGTCCATATTTCCATAAAACAACACAATATAAAACCACGATTGTAGTGTCCCCACAAGGAGGTAGACAAATAACTAGAAGAGAACATAATAATAGTTATATATAAGAATCTAATATACCAATGAAAAAAATAATGCACATACATGGAGAAGTTTCAGTTGAAAAATGTTACTGAAATTTCTCTTTAGGTTCTCTTTAGGTTCTCTTTAGAAATAAATCTCTTTAGGTCATTTTCTCACTTTATAAATAAAAAATAAATTCCACAAATATTTAATAGTTGAATATTAAAATTTCAAACCACAAAAATATTAGAAAGTACCATTAAATGTTGGAAAATGTCTCCGAACATATTTGGTAGATGGTAGATGTCCAGTAATTAATGTATAGACAGTATTGAGTTTATAATTCTGTATCTTGTAGCATATTAATTTTGATTTGACAATTTGGAGAAGACTTGTTGTCTACTATGTTTAAGGCACTGTGTTTTATTCACTAAAAAATATAAATATATACAAGACTCAGTCTTTCCACCAAAGAGTTTATAAATCACTCAGAAGAAAATACATATAAAACCAATCATAATATAAAACAGAACATCACAGAGCAAAGGTAAAATTCTAAAAAATTTGGACAAAAGAAAGCTTGAATCAGCTTGTGAGATCAGGAATTACTTTCTAAAGAAGGTTTCACTTGATCTGGATTTTAAAGATGAATAAGGGCCGGGCATGGAAAAATGAGGGCGAAGAGCCTTCCAGGCACAGAGGCAGGCAAGCATAGAGCAAGTGTAAGGCATGATGACTATTCTGGCTGGGATATAAAATGACTAAGATTCCTTGAGAAAGAAATTGAAAAATAGTGTAACTCAAGTGCACATGGAGCATTTTTCATAATAAATCACGTCTGTAAAACGAGCCTGGATAAATTTAAAAGGTTGAAATTATACAATCATTTTATTACTCATATACTTCTTTTACTAATCCAACCACAATAAAAGGAATTTAGCAATCAATAACAAAAGTAAATTTAGGAAATTCACAAATATATGGAAATTAAACAACTAACTCCTAAATAACCAATGGGTCAAAGAAGAACTTGCAAATACAATTTAAAAATGCTTTGAGATGAATGAAAATGAAGACACAACATACCAATATTTATGAGATGCAGCAAAAACAGTGCTTAAAGGAAAATACATAGCTGTAAACACCTATATAGAAAGAATCTCAAATCATTAAGCTAAGCTTTCACCTTAAGAAACTGGACAAAGAAAACTAAACTAAACTCTAAAGCATAAGAAAGGAAATTACAAAGATTGAAAGAGAAATAATAAAATAAATAGAGAAAATCAATGAAACCAAGGGTGATTCTTTAAAAAGATCAACAAAATCAGCAAACCATTAGTTAAACTGACCAAGTTTAAAAAGTAATTACTAAAATCAAGAATACAAGATAGGACATTACTACTGACTTTACCTAATTCCTACTTCTACCACAGTGCCTGAAATATAAAAGTCATTCTATAAATGTTTCTTGAGTGAGTGGGCTGTGAGACGCCATTAAAGGTCTCCCGAGCAGAGGCATAAGAATGAGCCAATACTATAATCAACAGAGGTGGCTACTAAATGCTTGCGTCATTGAGTAGAGAGTAAGTAGTGTTTACCAAAGTGTCTTTTGCATCAGACATCAATTTGGGCCCCGGCTCTCTCACTTACTCTCTGAACATTGGTTACAATGAGTATCACAATACTAACTCATATTGTTGTTTTATAGGTTAATTGAGGAGATGTGTGTAAAGCATTTAGCACAACAGTAAGTGCTAAAGCGTAATTAGCCCTCCATGCAGGATACATGCTATTACTGTTGCCGTTGGCACTATAATTATCGTCCTGGAAGTTACTGTAGAAGGCAAATTAAAACCACATAATCACACTGTGTTCAGGGTACATGTAAAGAAAAATAGGAAACAGTATATATGGTGTCCCCTTTCTGTCCCACTCAAGTCAACATTGAAGTTTTTAACATCACTCACATTTCATCAACTTTTTATTTAAGTTCTCAGCATTCTTCGGCCATTATATGACTTTATATCTCTCCTCATTTACTCACACATTTATTAATAAACTTTTATTTCATGATATATTCCATTTGTAAAACACTGTCTTTTCTAATTAGTGCACAATGCTAAACTGCTAACCACTTGAGAGAACCTCAGAATTGAGTATCTTGGCACACTCCCAAGGTACGTGTGCCAAGAGAGTAAATTTTCACAGTGAAATTCATAAACAAACCATATGTTCTTTTAAACAATTTTTTAAAACTAAATTCCACTTATATGGACTGTTTCATTATGGCTTAGAAAGTATAGGTGGATAAATAGTGTCTATTTTTAATTATGAAATTTTGAATGTAAAATGCACTTTTTCATGAAAGTTATGTTATTAACGGTGATTGTATTTGTAAAATGGCTTACAGAGGCTGACACAGTAATGTCAGATGAATTGTGTTTGTTATTTTTCAATCAATCAGATAATTCCATTACACAATCAGAGCACAGCTGATATTGACCTAGTAAACCAGACCAAATCGTAGACGTCTAAATAAATCTCACATCTAATTCCATAATATTATGCATCCCTCTTTTGTAATTACAAAGATAATACAGGTTCATGTTTTAAATTTTTTTTTTTTTTTTTTGAGACGGAGTCTCACTCTGTCGCCCAGGCTAGAATGCAGTGGCGCGATCTCGGCTCACTGCAACCTCTGCCTCCCGGGTTCAAGTGATTCTCCTGCCTCAGCCTCCTGAGTAGCTGGGACTACAGGCATGCACCAGCATGCCCAGCTAATTTTTGTATTTTTAGTACGGACGGGGTTTCACTGACCATGTTGGCGAGGATGGTCCCCATCTCTTGACCTCATGATCTGCTCGCCTCGGCCTCCCAAAGTGCTGGGATTACAAGTGTGAGCCACCGCGCCCAGCCCCATGTTTTAATTTTTTATAAAACTGAGATAATACTATATATATATAGTTTTGAAATTTGCTTTTCTTCACTTAATAATATAAGCATTTTTCTATATTATTAATTATTCTGGTACTACATATAATATCTTTTAATCACTTCATTTACTATCAGAGTAATTAATGTATTATTCGAGTACATATAAATTGTTGAAGATTTGTGTTGTCTACAGTTTTCCACTATTACAAGTAATGCTAAAATCACTTTTATCTTTTAAATGTCATGAATACTTAGTCTTTATTTATACATATTTTTAGGCAAATGCATAGTCTATGGTGCTATCAAAAGTTGTGCCTGGTCCTGAATCTTAACCAATGCAGTAAATCTTATAGCCCCAAGGAAGAAAGACCAGGGTACTTTCTTAATCTGCCCTTAAATTGAACAGATGTGTCCTACTCCCCAGACGTCAGCCTCCTCACCTCTAAAAATGAGTGCCTTGCCCTTGGTCAAAAAGTGCTTCCTCATAGATACTGGAATAAAATTAGTAAGAAAGGCTTGAACTTAAAGAAGAAAAGGGACTACCTGGCCAGACGCTTTGGTCTCTATCAATTTCACTTTTAGAAAAGCCAGTGTTCTCTCACCTCTAAAGAATAATGGTGGCTGGGCGCAGTGCCTCATGCCTGTAATCTCAGCACTTTGGGAGGCCAAGGAGGGCGGATCACCTGCGGTCAGGAGTTCGAGACCAGCCTGATCAGCATGGTGAAACCCCATCTCTACTAAAAATACAAAAATCAGCCGGGCATAGTGGTGGGCACCTGTAATCCCAGCTACTCAGGAGGCTGAGGCAGGAGAATCACTTGAACCCAGGAGGCGGGGGTTGCAGTGAGCCAAGATTGCACCATTGCACTCCAGCCTGGGCAACAGAGTGAGACACTGTCTCAAAAAAAAAAAAAAAAAAAAAAAGGACATGGCAATGGGAGAAAGCAGCACAGGGAAGAGGAAACAGTTCCAATGCCAGGTTAAGCAGAACAAATCTGGGAAAGTTTCAATAATGAAAGCAGAAAGTTTCAATAATGAAAGCAGAAGGGGAAGAAGAATAGAGATAAAAACAAAATGGAAGTTGCTCTCATAGTGTGTTATTCTGGGTCCTCCCAGACGTAGCCAGTAAGAGGAATACATGAGTAAGAGATTTACTAGGGAAAAGCATGTGTGGAAAATGAGGAGAGAGCTAGGAAACCCTGAGAAAGTCCTTAGACTGCAAGGTAGGTCTAATATTGAATAAAGGAAAAAGGGAGGAGGAAAAGAAAGAGGAGTGTTGGGTGCAGCATCTATTTAAGCGAGGCTATCAAGGAGTCCCTGGGCCAAAGTTTTGCATCAGAGGAGTCCAGTGCCTTCCAGAAACAGGCCTGCAGTAGTATCCTTGCCACACTGAGTCATTGCCCGAGAACACCTACAGGAAGCATGGTCTTGACAAAAATATAGTGGGGTTTCAAAGCACAATGTCTGGAGCAATTGATCAATTAGGTTCCCTGAAGTTAAACATCTGAAAGGTTCATTTTCATGGCTGTCATACACTAGATACTCATGTATATACTAAATTCCAGAACAGAACCACTCTTCTATTTTATACTGATAAAATTACAAGCAACACCCATGTTGGAAAATTTAAGTACTAAAAAATGGAGATAAAAGCCTAACATTTGAAAACTGTCAATAAGAAAATTACCCAAATAGCCATCCATGGTTTCTTACAAACTTACTCTAGGAGCTTCTGTGCATCATAGTATCCAATTGGATGAACAGGAATACTTGGAAGACCAACAGCCTCTGCAATTCCACGCCTATAAGCATATTCTGAAAAAAAAAATTGCCATATTTCCAGTAAAAACTCAGTTTCATTCAAACGGTTCTCTATAAATCACATTAAATACATTCTAATTTCACATTTGCTAGAATTGTTAAAGTAAAACAGATTAACAATTCAAATGTTAGCGAGAATGCAGAGCAACTGAAATCCTCATACATTGCTTGTGATAATCTAGGCTAAAATTATACAATCACTTAAGGTAACTCTTTTGAAAAGCAATGTCAAGCAGAAATGTGCACTATGGCACAGCAATTCCACTCCTGGGTACTCTAGAAAGATGAGCACATGCCCACAAGAAGACGTGTACAAAATTGTTCATAACAGCCACATTTATATTAGCCAAATATTAGACAAAGTCTAGGTTTCTAACAACAGAAGAATGAATAAACAATCCGTAGTATAATCCCACAATGGAATGCTACTCAATCATCAAAAGAAAAAAACTAATACATACAATATGATAGAAAATCTCAAATTACTACACTGAAATAAGCAAGGCTTTAAAAAAAAATCTACTGTTTGATTCCACTTACTTGAAGTTCAAACCCAGGCAAACGAATACACGATGCTAGATACTAGATAGTGATTGCTTCTAGGGGACACAGAGAAAATTGACCAGAAAGGGGTACAAAAGAACTTTCCAGAGTGATGGAAAGGCCCTTATATTCTATTTTAAGTGACATAAACACATGCAATTTGCAAAATTTATTGAACTGAACTCTTGAGATCTATGTATTTTATTGCATGTAAACTGTACCTCAAAATAAGCACACACATCCTATCATTTCTTCAGACTTAAGAAAAATCAGAGTTGTTTTTCCATTTTTTTCTCTGTTTTTAAAACAATCTAATAAGAAACTTAGGTAACTGCAAATCCTTGTTTTTATGGGTAAAATGACACAATGATATGCTGTGTGGGATTTGTTTTCAAATTCTTTAGAATAATAGCAAAATAAAATTGGAGAGATAAACAAATAAAACAAGATTGACAACATGTTGATGACTGTCTCTACTTTTGTATATGTTAGAATTATGCCATAATAAAAAGTAAAATTAGAAAGAAAATAAAAATGTATAGAGCACAAAATATAATTCAATAAACATTAGCCCCATAGAAATAACATAATTTCTCCCTAAAATACCATCATTCAAATTTGAAGAAAATCAACAGAAACATTCCAGTTAATCTCATTTTATTTTCATTATTTTGACTTTGCATAACTAATAAAGCTTAGGCTAAGCTGCATTTTTTAAAACTTGGAAATAAAAAGGTGGAGCAAATGAAGTTCAGGTAGATTTATATAATTTTACTATAGGGTAATATGTGTCATTTTTTAAAAAAGAAAAAAATCTCTGACAATGTATTATGTTCTAAGAAGATTTACAAAGCCAAAAAAAATACATACTCTTTACAGGAGTCTACAATTTAAGAGTAAAACCAGATGAAGACATAAATGTCATAGAAAACTTGGCAAAGTATTTTATACAAGTTTTAAAAATTTAGTTAGCTTTAAACCACACAAACTTAATGATCACAGATTTTTGTAAACATCATTAAATAGTTGAGCACATTCAAAATAAATTAGCTCCCTTTGTTAATGTTTTACAGGGGAGCCTTTCAGCATAAGACTACTATGTGGACTCTGTGAGCCAGACTGCCTGAATTTGAATCCAACTGCCCATTCAGAGGAGGGGTGATCTTGGGCTGACTTCTAGTCTCACTTTCCTCCCTGTGAATAAGAGATAATAACACCCCCTAGCTTTAGGGTTGTTAATGCAAGTAAAATGCTGGCATTTAGGAAACACTCTTTGAAAGTTATCTCTGTTATCTTACAGAAATGAAGCAATATGCATTTCCTGGGCCCTATATCCTAAATTGGCCATTTAAAAAGTTTATGGAACTTCTGCTCTCCTGTCCCTTACCCACACTGTGAAATCTGTAAATCTGGGGGGAATTTATTTAACAGCAAAACCTGATCTGACCTGAACTCATTTGAAAGCAAAATTTGACTTGAGTAGACATAAGTCTGTTTATATTCCTTATTCCCCGCCCCCCACTTACTACTTAGCGTAAGTATTCATACACTCTGCAACAAAAATATTTATATACTTTTTCCCCATATTCTGTCCCAGCCCCCTATGTCACTGTTATGCAAGTTATGGTATATGTGTAACACCATAATGTTTTTTAAATAGCTGAATAAGTCTGAATTTGAAAGCCCACCAGGCCCAAGTTTCAAAATAAGGGGGTAAGGGGCCTGAACCAATCACTTTAGAGTTCAAAATTCTTTCATTCTTAAATGCAAAGAGAATAAAAAAAGACATGCTTAGTCCATTGTACCAAAGGAAATTCTTTAATAAAGTCTCTTTCAAATGTTAAGTTTCCTATGATATTCAAGGATTGATCATTCACCATTTGCTGGGTAACCTGGTGTGAGAGGGTCTCCTGCACCATTCAGATTTAGGATATTTCCACGCTGGACACCACCTCCAGGAAGATTCCAACCATCTGGATAGGACTTCACCCCAGGAGCAAAGTAGTCAGCAGGGTCGGAGTAGAGAATGACTCCTTTGGCCCCTGCCAGCTGGGCATTTTTAACCTAGAAAACACAGTGTCTTTCTTTCCTTATTTTAAATTGGTTGTTCCAGATTCGGTAATATCAATTTTCAATATTACACTTAAATGAGTACCAGAACTTTATCTTCAACCTTTTCTCATTAGGCCTACAACAAAGGACATCTCGGATAGAATTTCCCTTTTCTTTTTGCTACTATAAGCTCTAAAAATCCTCAGAACATCAGATTTAGAAATGTTCTTATTAGTGGTAGTGAGCATTTGCTATTTCCTACCACTAGCTTACAAATATAATAAGCAAGTAGACCCCACAGGCCAAATTCCTATTTGTTCTACAGTCGAAAGGGAATTTTTTAAAATTTAATTTCCCACTAAAGAGAAAAATATATTAACAAATCAAATGACAGTAATTTTTAAATTTGCTATGTGTAAATTGTTTTCCCTCATTATTTATAACAATTCATACTACAATTTAATTTAGTAAACATTTTTGTAGAAAATATTTAAAACAAAGATACTGAAAGTTAATAATAAACCCAGTGCATGCTTCTTTGTAGGCCACAGCCATAACCTGTAAGCACAGAAAAATTTGTTCTGTTCACTCTAAACATCTACACTGGCCAAATTCCAATGCTCGAATTTAACCCCGGGATATAACCTAGTAAATGTGTCCTCTCTGTAAGGTGGGCATGTCACAGAATACAAGAAAATAATGGTATTCATAAAGTTTTAAGAAAATGATTCTACACATGTAAAACCCACTATAACTTTTTACATTGGGGGAGAGAAAAAAAGAGATAATTTTTACCTTACCTTATTTCCTCTGAAAACTTTCCCATATCTGGCAATTACAATTTTCCCAGAGCAATTGATTTTCATGTCCCGTTCCAATTTAAAGAAGTCTTCAGTTCGTGCATAGTTAACATACACTAGATCGCCCTGTTGAGATCGGGAATGACTTAATATGAGTCAGATATAAAACAAGGAGGTTTTTCTGCATGGGGACTGTTGGACATTTTTGAAAGAGGGAAGAGGTCAGAGCACACAGGAAGGTCAGAAATGCATGAGCTCCAAAGAAGAGATTCAAGGGAAAAATGAATTTAAATTGAGAATGGAATTAGATGGGCTAGAAGCACATGAATAAAGTAATATTTGTTTGTATTTGTCCCATATTTAGTGGCTACGAAGCTGAAGCTACAGAAGCACCCCCCCCACACACACACAGAAAAGCATATACGTGTACACATTGCTGCACGCAACTTGAAGGTGTCCAGATACCCTAGGCTAAGAAGCCCTTAATGAGACCTTTTCTCTCTTCAGTGTGTGTTCACAGGGAGTAGCTTAATGGTTCTTAACAACCACCAAGTAAAGAAAAATGCACAGGTAACATCATTGCTTCACAGGTCTGATTTCAATCATTAAGTGATTATGTGCAAATCTTATAACATATTTGAGTCTCGATATTCTCATTGGCTCAATGATCTGCTAGATTAAATCAGTGATCTTCCAACCTTTTTTGCTCACCTATTCCCTAAATTAATTTTGACAATGTCCCCCTTCATCTAAAATTTAAAATTTTTTATCATACCTTTAAGTAGCTGCAAAGCATGCAATATCTAGCTTACTATAAATATTAATATTTTTAGAAGAAATTGTATACAACTTTTATATTGATCCAAATGATTTAAATACTGTATTTATTTACTATTCAACATCATCAATTTTAAAAAATACATGAACATGCTGTTCTTTACAGTCAAAATTTTGTCATCTCTTTTTTTTTCTTGAACTTGTATATTGTCCATCTTCCCCCACAGAATTTTACTCTAAAGTAAAATATATTTGTGCTGGGCACCAGATGAGCTGTCCAGATTCACGGTCAATGAAGGACTTTTTGCTCCAGCTGCAGGGAAGGCTCTCTGCAGACAATCTTCATCTGTCAGCCCCTTCAAGGATTGCCTCAGCTGTAGACAGCCCCCTTGCTCAAGGTCATGTCCCTTTCTAGAATGCCACACATTCAGTGACTGATTGATGTGAGGGTACAGAGACCTGGACATCTCAGTCTAACGTAGGACAATTCTGAGAAACTATTCCAGACCTCCTTATGGGCTTAGCCAAGGCTATCCTTCAGCTGGCATTGCAGGGTGACTTCTCCCTCTGCCTAATCCAGCTCTGCTTTTCACAGATGTTGATCCCAAGAGAACACTCCACAATTATCAACTAGCATTCTAAATTTCAATTCAGAATCTATTACCTTAAATATGGGTATGCTTGAAAGTCTTTTATTAATCACTGTCAAATTTCCTTGAATCAGTATATCTTTATAAGTCAAATTTTTTAAAAAATTTATTTTTGTGACAGATTGTGTTAAGAAACAGCTTCAAGAGTAAGTTATAATTATAGGCCAGGCATGGTGGCTCATGCCTGTAATCCCAGCACTTTGGGAGGCTGGGTTGGGTGGATCACTTGAGGTTGGGAGTTCAAGACCAGCCTGGCCAACATAGTGAAAACCCATGTCTACTAAAAACACAAAAATCAGCTGGGCGTGGTGGCACCGCCTGTAATCCCAGCTACTCGGGGGCTGAGGTATGAGAATTGCTTGAACACGGGAGGTGGAGGTTGCAGTGAGCCAAGATCATACCACTGCACTCCAGCCCGGGCGACAGAGTAAGACTTGGTCTCAAAAAAAAAAAAAAAAGATAGATTAAGTTATAATTATAATTACTAGCAGTATCAAATTAAGTCTAACAACATCATTGCAATTCTTATATATAATGCATAACCATAAAATTTGATTAGAAATATATCTTTGAATGCAATGAGTGGGACAGTGAAGCGTTATCTTAACACATTTGTTCAGTGGGTGAACAAATTATTGCTAGAATGAGACTGGGATCAGCAACAACAGTTCAATTTACATTTCTTGTTTTTACAGTAAGTTCTGAGAAAACTTGGATAGGAATGAAAGATTTGTTATGGAATTGTTACTAACTTATTTAAACTTCTTTCAAGTTATAATCTGAAAATCACAAATTGATCCATCATTCAAGTGTCTTTTAATGATATTAGCTGGAAACTCAATTGGGTTTACCTTTAATTTTGCTCAATTGTAAACCATTTGAATTGCTAAGAATTTGTTACATAGCTATTAGAACCATTCACTATCTTAACATTGAAAACAATATTTCTAATTGTCTCTTTTTTTGAAGCCCCAGAGATTTTTACAACACAGATATATGCTTCATATTGACTTAGAATGGGTAGGAGATGTTTTTCATTTATAAAATAAGATGAAAATGCTTGTAAATAGGGAGCAGGACCTCACGACAGGCTAGCTTTCAATACCATGAAAAAGCGCACAGGGTAATTGATGATCTGCAAACTGATCTCTTTAAAACCATGTCATGCTTGCCTTTCGAAAGTCTTTACACAGCCTAGTTTGAAACCCCTGTCCCAGATGATTTCCAATATCCTATCATTTTATTTTGGTTATTGTTTTCCTTTTTGACTACATTTTTCATAGCATGTACACGACAAATATACATAAGATATTAAAATAGAATTGTTTCCAAGCTGATTCTAGGATTAATTTGACAAATTGGTGAAGATCTATTATGTGTTAGGCAGTGCCCTATGTAATACAACAAATCTCTGCCCTTGAAGGAACTTACACTGCAGGTCCTCCTTCACTCACAATGGAATTAAGTCTTACTAAACTCACCTAAGTTGAAAATAATTATACACCTAAAGTGTGTTTTTGACTTAGGATATTTTCAATTTATAATGGGTTTATCCAGACATAACCTCATGGTAAGTTGAGAAGTGTATTGAATGAGTATGGCTATTGCACCATCATGAAGTCAAAAAATTTTAAGTAGCCATCTTAAGTTGGGGGTTTCCTGTAATGTGGATGGGATAATACAATAATGAGCATTAAAGTTAATAACTAAGCAAAGCATACATTATATTAAAAGGTGATAAGTAGTATAGAAAAAATTAAAAAGCATTTAAATAGAGTATACAAATGGTGAACTAGAGCTTAAGTGGGTGTAATATTAAATAAAATGAGGAAAGTCTAATTGGGAAACTGACATTTGAATCTTTGCCTCTGTAAAAGGATTACATTTAGCTCTTGTATTTCTTCCTAAGACCAATGTAATATTAATGCACTATTAATCATAACACTATATGTCTGATTTATCATTGTTAACCCTCTCTGGAGCACACTCATTCTATTTTAACTGTGGCTACAAAGTCATTAACCAATGTGATTTCAGCAAAATAATTTTTTTAGTGTAAATATCCTACTTTCTTTACCCTTAATATAAGTAACTTTGAGGAGATTGTACCTTTAAATGTCTCTAAATGTGGCTGTCTTTTGATATATCAGCAATCCTCACAAAACAAACTGTGAGGGAGAGAAAACTGAAAAACATATTAGCTTAAAAATGAGAGTAAACTTTGAAAATGAAAACAAGTGTGACAGATATTCCCTCTCAGCACTTCTCAAATGCAAGTTGTCACTGTTAGAAAAGAGCTTTGTTTTTAGACAAAGACCTTCTTGTACAACTTACACTGTACCATCCATTGTTCTATGACTGTGAATAAATAGAATCTTGCACTCTTAGCCCGGAATTTTCTTTGTTTCCTTAAGCTTCCATCTCCCTAACTCTTATTTATAGAGACAGAATTGGGAGGCAAAACCAGTGATTCTCAAAGATGGTCCTTGGACCCTCAGAAACAATATCACGCTTGTTACAAACACAAACTCTCAGGCTCCACCCCATTAAACTTAGGGAGTGGAAACTAGAATCTGTGTTTTACAAGCCATCCAGATTATTGTGACAGACACTAAAGCTTGAGAACCACTAGATAGACTATATTTTATGAACATCGCAAATTGCTAATTTTAAATAGCATAAAGCAGAGTCCCATATTTCATATTCCACAGGATTCAGACGTAAATTCAAAGATTACTGATCGTGAATTTTTGTTTTGTTTTGTTTTTTGAGACGGAATCTAGCTCTGTCGCCCAGGCTGAAGTGCATACATTTAATTTAAAATAGCTAAAAAATATAAAATATACTTTAAAAATCTTAAATGAATGTGATCTATTGAAGAAGCTGAAGTGTGAAGTGTGAAATTGAAGAACCCTGAAATGTATTGAGCAGTGAAAAGATTATGTATACAAAAACAGGTTGGCCGGGTGCGGAGGCAGGCAGATCACCTGAGGTCAGGAGGCGCGATCTCGGCTCACTGCAAGCTCCACCTCCCGCGTTCACGCCATTCTCCTGCCTCAGCCTCCGGAGTAGCTGGGACTACAGGCGCCCGCCACCACTCCCGGCTAATTTTTTTGCATGTTTAGTAGAGACAGGGTTTCACCGTGTTAGCTAGGATGGTCTGGATCTCCTGACCTCTTGATCCGCCCCCCTCGGCCTCCTAGAGTGCTGGGATTACAGGCGTTAGCCACTGCGCCTGGCCTGTAAAACGTTTTAAACACACATATGGACATACATAGTTTTGAAAGAATTGACATTCCACTGGCTGGGTTACAGATGATCCAGTGAGGAACACCGATCAGCAAACTCATCTGATATTTGAACATAAACAGCAAACCCATACAACATGTGTGCTCTTTGTATTTAGCCATTGATCTGGAAGATTTTAAGTCTATTTGAAGGAAATAAGAGACAACGGTCTTTATAACTCTTTCTTACGATTAATAGTAATGTCAAAGTCCAAAAATTATTTGGAAGATTTTAATTGGGTATGCAGTAAACCTACAAACTAATCTAGGTGTAATTTTCTCCTTATAATATGATGTCTTCTCAGCCAGAAACATAAACGGTTTAACTGTTTTTTCTTTTGTTTTGTTTTGTTTTTCTAAGATGGAGTCTCGCTCTGTCACCTAGGCTGGAGTGCAGTGGCACAATCTCAGCTCACTGCAAGCTCCGCCTCCCGGGTTCACGCCATCCTCCTGCCTCAGCCTCCTGAGTAGCTGGGACTACAGTTGTGTGTCACCGCATCTGGCTAATTATTTTGTATTTTTAATAGAGATGGGGTTTCCCCATGTTGGCCAGGCTGATCTCGAACTCCTGACCTCAGTTGATCTGCCTGCCTCCGCACCCGGCCAACCTGTTTTTTTATACACAGTCTTTTCACTGCTCAATACATTTCAGTGTTCTTCAATTTCACACTTCACACTTCAACTTCTTCAATAGATCACATTCATTTAAGATTTTTAAAGTATATTTTATATTTTTTTAGCTATTTTAAATTAAATTTATTCATTATACTTTCTGCTATCATATACTATCTGGTCTTTTATATTTAGCTTCAATCTGATAATATTAATACTATTTTTAAATAAAAATGTATTGTTAATTTTTGGTATACATAAGTCATGAAGTTATATCACTGTAAATCATAAAGAAGGAGAATATTAATAAAGAAGGCCCAAAGTGCAAAAACATAAGGAAAATAATTTGACAACGTCAAAATTAAGGATCTCTTTTCAACAAAGGAAAACACAGAGTGAACAAAAAGATGAAAAATTAGAATAGGCAAAACTAATTTATGGTGGCAGAAATGTCAAAGAAAGATATCCTCTGGGGTATGTAGAGTTGATTAAGAAGAACCATAAGGGAACTTTCTGAAGTGAAGGTCATATGCTGTACATTGATGGGATTTGGATCACCCAGATGTTGGCATTTGTCAAAAATCAATAAATGTGCATTTGGGATTTGTGCATCTCATTGCAGTAAGTTGTATCTTTAAAAATACCATTAATAAAATATAATCAATATTCCTTCTTCTTACTAAGACATTCTCATTACTTAAATGTGGAAAAATGAATTGGATTACATTAAAAGTCCCTTTATGACCCTTTAATTATCGGCTGAACATATGAAGAGAAGGAAGGCTTCTTTTTGTCATTTTTATTTGTTGCACTGTGTTTTTACCTCTGGCATTCCTTGAGGAGAGAAAGCACTGAAAGGTGGTACAATATCCGAAACATTTTCATATCCTGGAGGAGGTGGTTCAAATAATGATGTGTTGAAAATCTAGAGAAACAAAATATTATAATCAAAATAAAACAGTTAAAGTTTGATTACTGTAATCAAACACAAAAAAAATGAATATTATCTTTTATGTCAGTAGAGGGTGAATGAATCCTTCAGGATTTTGATGATAGTATCAGATACCCAGCACTATGCTAGAAGTTGTGAAGAATTCACGAGATGAATAAATCACAGATTCTGTCCTCAAAATGGTTAGATCTATTCAAGGAAACAAAGCTAAAAAAACCCCACCAATAACTAAAAATCAACCAAATGAAAAACAACAATCATAAAATAAGTAAGTACTATAGAAAGAAAAGCTCAGAGGAGGTAAAAAGATACTCTTCCAAAAGGAATACTATATACTGTAAACTGTGTACTGATAGAAGGAAGAATTAGAAATTTATTTTTTGTAAGTGGCATACATACTAAGCTAGTGTGAACACAAGCCTAAATATGTAGTTGCTTCACAGAAGGTTAGAAGTAAATTAACCTCATGAATTTCTTGAGAGAACTTGTAAGGACTAGCTTTCGATTTTGGAGAAAGATTTTAATCACCAAATAAAAAGTACCTTTGTTTGGTAATCTCAATCATTATAATAGTGCTTAGATAATTACCTAGGAACAAATTAAATATTAAATTTACTTTAAAAAAAAGTACATGATTGGGGAATCCACAACTGGCCTTATCTAGATTCTCTGAACAACATATGCACTGAAAAGAATGAAAAACACTGAACCAAATATATGTTTTTTTAAGTTTAAAATTAAATTGGAAAAAAAATAGTAAGGAATATTCAGAAGCAAAAAAATAAAATGAAAGCAAGAATCCTCAGAGGTAGCACGAAATTTGGCTTTGCCTTAGATGGATCTATCAAAGCCTATGGCCCCATGAAAAGGATTCAGGAGTTAGTTTAAAGCTGGTTCACATAATGGAATCTAGCAGAAGACTGTGCATAAAGCTGGTCTAAGAACAACAATATCCTGGCCAGGTGAGGTGGCTCACGCCTGTAATCCCAGCACTTTGGGAGCCCAAGGTGGGTGGATCACGAGGTCAGGAGTTTGAGACCAGCCTGACCAACATGGTGAAACCGCGTCTCTACTAAAAATACAAAAATTAGCCGGGCCTACGTGCTTGTAATCCCAGCTACTCAGGAGGCTGAGACAGGAGAATCACTTGAACCCAGCAGGCAAGCTTGCAGTGAGTGGAGATCATGCCACTGCACTCCAGCCTGGGTGACAAAAAAAAAAAAAAAAAAAAAAAGAACAACAATATCCTTCAGGGTTAAGGATAAATTCAAAATAAACTTGCTCCATGGAAAGTAATGGCTTAGCGTAAAGCAGGAAAAAAGGGTTCCAGATAATTCATAACCCTACAAATTTCCATTCACTGTTTATATAGTATGCCTCAAGCGAAAATATTTATTTTAAAGCAGTGCCAGGTTTGTAGTGCTCCCTGGGGCCTAAGAGAAATGATCAGGAGGAATCAGCCTTCAAATTAGCCTTAAAGAATTCCCAAATTCTTATTACTATCATATTAATAAACATATTTATCAAGTTTATGAAACAAGACTGAATTAAAATTATGCATATAAATTGGTAATATATAACAAAAGTGAAAGTGTTCTAAGGTTTCTATATTGTAGAAATATTGATTGAATTATGACACCAAAGCTTTAGGGGAAAAAAGGAAGAGTAAAATTCACACTAGAGGAAGGTAAAAGTGACCTAAATATTGTATATCAGAATTATAAAAAATGAAAATGGAAAAAAGAATAATTAAAAAGCGTAGCATGTCTAAATAAAATCAGCTGTGTACCAATTGACAAGCAGTGACATAAACCCGCTGAAAAAGAAATACCAAACAAATATTAATTAAAAAAAATTTTAGGACAAAGTCAAATAACATTATGACGAGATAAAAAAGGCTACTACATAAGTATAAGTCTGTCATTTCATCAACAATTCTGTTTATATATGATAATAGGTCTCCAAATTATACATAACATAAATTTATGGAATTATAAATTTTATATATATAGTATAAAACAGACATCACTATAGTGAGGTGAGATAATTTAACATTTATCTCTAATTAATAAAGGAAGCAGACAAAATGAGAGAGCACATTAAGGATAATGGAGATTTCAGCCAAATAATAAGCAAACTCAAACTAATGTACAAATACAAAATATTAAACCAAACAACCATCAAATACATGTTTTTCCCAAAGAAACACAGAACGTCTATAAAAACTGAGCACATATTAGGTTCCAAAGGAAGCCTCAACAATTGTCAAAGGATTAGTGTCCTACAAACCACATTATCTGATCTCAATATATTCAATTTAGAGATCAGATCAAACAAATAACAATAACAATCTTTATATTCAGGATTTTAAAAAATACTTGTAAATAGTTGCAGGATCAAAGAAGAAAATACAGAAATTAAAAAATATTTAGATACTAATGATAATTAAACTACTCCTAATCCAAATTTGTGAGATGTAGTTGAAGTGGAAAGGGAAGTTAAAGGGGAAATTTATGGCTCTAAATACTCATAATAGAAATGAAGAAAGACTGAATGTCAATAAGTTAAGCATTCTACTGAGGATTTTACAAAGAACAGCAAAGTAAACACAAAGAAGATAAAAGAGGCAATTATAAAACAAGAACAGAATTAATAAAATATAAAGCAAAGATAGATGAGAAAAGATTGCCAAAGCCAAAGTTTATTCTTTGGATACACTAGTAAATTTGACATATCCCTCTCAAGAGCAATAAGAAAAAAAAATAGCAAAAGCGCAAACAAATAATATTATTTATTAAAAAGAGGCACATCTACAGACGCTGAACAGATTACAAAAGATAAGAAAATACTAGGAACAACTATACTATAAATTTGAAAGCTTACATCAAATGGAAAATGCATTTTAAATAAAACTTATGAAAACTGACATAAGAATACATTTTTTAAAAAATCGGCCAGGCACAATGGCTCACGCCTGTAATCCCAGCACTTTGGCAGGCCGAGGCGGGTGGATTACAAGGTCAGGAGTTCGAGATCAGCCTGGCCAACATAGTGGAACCACGTCTCTACTAAAAATACAAAAATTAGCCGGGTGCGGTGGCTCATGCCTGTAGTCCCAGCTACTTGGGAGGCTGAGGTGGGAGAATTGCTTGAACCCGGGAGGCGGAGGTTGCAGTGAGCTGAGACCATGCCATTACACTCCAGCCTGGGTGACAGAGTAAGACTCGGTCAAAAACAACAAAAAAATCTAGTTGTATAGCCATATAACAATAAAGTCATATATCAAGCAATAAAAATTGTTCTATGACATAAAATTATCATATGACAAACAATAAAGTCATTTAACAAACAATAAAAATTGTTATATGACGTAAAATAGTCATATTACAACCAATAAAGAAATTAAACCAGTAGTTTAAAATTTTCCACAAACAGAGTCAAGGCCAACTGGTTTTCCTTGAGTTTGAAAGGTTAAAGGAAAAAATAATTTAATTGCAATAAAACCTACTTCAGAAAATATTAAAAACCCAACTCATTTTAGAAGGCAAGTAGAATATTGAAATTATAACCCAACAAATAGATTGCAAAAACACAGACTAAACATGCTATGAGTATAAACATAATATATATCAATATATGAATTTAAAACCCTAATGCTAATATTACAAGTTCAAAAAATATAAGATTATTCTAACATTAGAATACACTGAATGTCATCTTCAGATCAAGAAAGAAAAATCGCATGCTCATCTTAAAGAAAAATGTGTTTAATATAAATCCATACAGCAAAAAATTTTAGTATATGTGGAAAGGATGTACTTTAAGATAACCAGAAAAAGAAAACAGTAAATACCATAATTAATGGTGAGAAAGAATTAAAGGTATTTCCTTCAAGACCAGAAGAAAGTTAAGGATATCTGCTATCAAAACTTCTTTTCAACATTATATTGTATAGGTCTTGGTCAGTGCAGTAATACAAATGGGAGGGATTTGGAGATGAGGAGGGGATCTGGGCAGATTTTACATTGTACTGACTAGAGCAGTAGTTATTTCCCTTTTCTGACATGGATAGAAGCTAAAATGAAACCAAATCAACTACGACTTGCCACATCCCCACATATTCCAAATTTCCCATATTTTTTTCTGTGATTCACATGAGAAATGAACTCATCTGAATCACTAGGTAAGATTAAAAGAAAAATTATGCTGAGGTGCAATAAAAATCAATAAAGGAACAAAGTCATTATATAAGCATGTCTTTCAGGCAAGGGAATATTCAAACTTGTCTCACTTGATTTGCCTTTATGGTAATCAATTTTGCAGCACCACTATGCCACACTGAATTTTACAGCAAGTTTATGAGCTATTCTAACAAGTAAGAAAAGTTTTTAATGTCAAGGAAATGCCTTTTTGGTTGACTTTATCAAAGTTAGATTAAATTTCAGTCTTAGAGTATTTTTTACTTTCCAAAATGCACTGGTAGCCTCAAATTATATATTCTGAGTATAACTAAAACAATATTAGTTTATAATTTCTGTTTACATTTTGTGACATAAAAAAGTCAATATATAGTTAAATCTTTATGGGATGTTATTTCTGCATAATCAAAGGTGAAACAATGTCTCTGTATACATTAAAAATATTTCTCATAGGATCCACAAAATACTAATCATATTTGTTGCCTACGGATGGAGAACTTGTCTGTTTTGTGCAGGGGTATAAAAGAAATCATAGTTTACCACATAGCTCAGCTGTGAACTGTTATTCATAACAATTAAATTGTACTGGGAGATGGGAGGTAGTAAGAGAACATGGTGGTTGGGGCCAAGGGATGAACAGGGAGCTGACTTGTCACAATGTCAATAGATAATGCCTGCATCTGAAATAAAAGCCATATAAGCATGTAATTTATAGAAATAGATGTAAATATAAAAAGAATTAACTTATAGTTGAATAATGATTGCCTCTGGAAAGAGGAAAATAGAGAAAAAGCAAGGCACTCAGGAAAATTATGTGGTTATGTACATATATAACTTGGATAAAAATAAAAAAGAACTAATGATATAAATTTAAAAAATTAAGAAACTAGGTATCTAACACTATTCAGGAAAATCTCCCAAGTGAAACTTTTACATGATTCATTTTGTATTATGTAACAGGCTTTGGTAACATTATGCATGTTTGTAATACAAAAGTAAATAATGAAATAAAATAAGCAATGGTATAGTCAAAACTGGGAAGTGAGGAGGAACGAAAAAAGAAGAAAAAAACGACAACATAGCAAGACCCCATCTTAAAAAAAAACTAACCAGCACTTTGGGAGGCCGAGGCGGGTGGATAACGAGGTCAGCAGATCGAGACCATCCTGGCTAAAACTGTGAAACCCCGTCTCCACCAAAAATACAAAAAAATTAGCCGGGCGTCGTGGCGGGAGCCTGTAGTCCCAGCTACTAGGGAGGCTGAGACAGGAGAATGGTGTGAACCCGGGAGGCGGAGCTTGCAGTGAGCGGAGATACCGCCACTGCACTCCAGCCTGGGCGACAAAGCGAGACTCCGTCTCAAAAAAAACAAAAACAAAAACTAAAATATATTATATGTCTGCTCTTTTCCACATTGTACCTAGACAATTCTCAAATTTGATAGATCAAAGAGACGTTTAAGCATATGTATACATTTTAACATTGTCAATATTTTATTTCTTTAAATAAATTTTCTGAACATGTTTTAAAGACCCCTCGGTATTTAACTGTATAGATATGCCACCACTTATTTAACAAACATTCTGAGACTATATGACGTGTAGTGGTATTGCCTTTTCAATATAATATATTTTAGGGTTTTTTTAGTTTGTTTTTCTTTTTTTTTTTTTTCCTTTTAAGGTGGAGTCTTGCTATGTTGTTCAAGCTGGTCTGCAACTCCTGGCTCCAGCAATCATCCTATCTCAGCCTCCCAAGTAGCTGAGATTAGGGGAACATGCCACCACGCCTGGCTTAATAATATTTTTTAAAGTTATATTGTTAACTACTATGATTGAGAACAGTAGTTAATATGAAAAGCTCCAATCACATTAGAAAATTTAGTATGGAATTATATCACTGACTGTAAAACATAACAACATATTAATCATTAAGAAGAGACTGATTCATTAGTCAATAAAAGGAGGTTATTGACCTACTATGAAAAAAAATTATATATGTACTTAAATCACATGACATTTTCAGTTCACTGATCAAACTGGACATATTTCAAGCTACATGTAATTAAGAGTGCCCAGTAATAAAAGGACTAAAGGAACTTACCTAAATAGAAATGGACTCTTCTACATACGGTAGCTCTAAAACTGAGGTATGTTAAGTAAGGATGAATGTATGTTATATTTTGTGATCTTTCATATTGAACATACATCATAATAAATATATCAATTTATCTGCATTGTCTTCTCTTTCTCAAGTATATGCCCCAACTTGCAAACAAGATTGCAAATTCTTTAAATACCATGCTAAAATACCTTGCCTCCAAACTTGTCCTCTCCAAATGTCCACACACAAATTCTTCGCACAGAGTTCAACCTGATCAATTGAGACATAATCATTAAGTACCAATAAAAACTTGCTGGGTCAAACTGCATACTGGATCCGTGCATTTCCCAGCAACTCCAAATCTGTGCAGTGTCTTTATAAATTAAACCTATCAAAAATGTATCTCCTGGCCAGGCGCAGTGCCTCACACGTGTAATTCTACAACTTTGGGAGGCTGAGGCGGGTGGATCACCTGAGGTCAGGAGTTCGAGACTAGCCTGGCCAACATGATGAAACCCTGTCTCTATTAAAAATACAAAAATTAGCTGGGTGTGGTGGTGCACACCTGTAATCCCAGCTACTCAGGAGACTGAGGAAGGAGAATCCCTTGAACATGGGAGGTGGAGGTTGCAGTGAGCCGAGATGGCACCACTGCACTCCAGCCTGCCTGACAGGAGTGAAACTCCATCTGGAAAAAAAAAAAAGAAAAAAAGAATCTCTTTTATAAAGTATCTCTTTTTATGCTTGGAGGTTTACAAGTATATCATATTTGATATTGGTGTGTAGTACTAAAAACTAAAAAACAGCAGCTGTTATCAAGCATTAATTTCTCGAATCTTTCTAAAACACAGTAAACTCAAACATCATAGGAAAGTAGTTGACACGGATAATGAGATATTAAAGGTATTCACAAGATCCAATAATATTGATTTCTATTAATATTTAGAGATGGGATAGAACATTATTTCATAGAAGGTATTTGAAAAAGAATAAATGGGGGGAATGTTTCTTTTATTTATTTATTTATTTTTTACCTCATTTCCATCTTCATTAATTATTGAGATGTAGTTGGGATGAGTCTTATTTGGGTAGGACAACAGGACATCATAATGTGCTAGCTCAACAGAATCCAGGCCAAATTCTTTCCACTGGGATTGAATTTGCTTTGCAAGCTGAAAGTTTTGTTCTGTTCCTGCTAAATGTGGTATCTGTGTAAAATTACTGGTGAACAAAAATTGAAAGTGGTTAGATATTAATGTTTAATCAACTTTTATTCCAAATCAACAAAGTAAAGCAGAGTTACACAAAAGTACTTTGAAGTGTGATACGTTAAAAAATTAAAGTGGTAGTATTATTGCATGAAATAGATTTTCAAAGTCTGCTTTGAAATTTTTATGCTCTAATTTGTACTAAATCAAGAGAAAAATCGGAGAAACTGATTTTTGTATCATTATGTGTAATCCTATTACTATAACCTCGTATGGTAGATTATCATATTCTTTCTTAAGACCTATACTTCTTGGAACTTACATGGAATTATCTGTTTATATCACTGTGTAAAATATTGAAACAGACAAAAATATTTTATCCAAAAGATCAAGGTGTAACATGGCAAGAATTACTAATAATTACATTTATTTAAATACTGAGAGTTATAGACAAGTGATAAACTTTTTGATTAGCAACCATTTATAAAGTATCTTCATCAAAGAATAATCTGAACATACCGATACAAGTTCAGAATGAATCTCTTGCACTCCATCTATCATACAGAGTGACACACTTAAAATCAATGACAATAATTAGTCTGAAGAGGAATATCTTTAACAAAGAAATTATGTGGCCAAAATTTGGCTACCAGAAATATTTTCAGGAGTAGACTAATTTCTCATTTAATATATTTAGATTCTGGTGCTTTTGATTGTTTTAAATTTCTCCCTCCTGGGAAATTTCTTGTTTCCCTGAAGAGCTCATTGGTAAGTATTTTTAACTTAAGCCCTTAAATACATGACAAGATATTATGTAGCATGAAAAGATATATATATATATATATATATAGTTCATAAACTTTTGGAACTTCATAAATTTCTAGTTTTAAATATGTAGCTTTATAAAATCAACATAATTCCATCCTTATGGTGATTTAAAAAAACTAATAACCAACATGACTATGATAATTCCAGTTTCAAGTTTCATTCTACCATGTATTTTAATTTTTTTTATTTGATGAATCAACAATGAATTAAAGTAACTCAATTTTTTAAAATTGGAATTTCCTGTAACTTGTTTACTTTAATAATTATATTAAAGTTATTTAAATTGTATTTATAAAAATAGTATTAAAATCCTCGTTTGGTAAATGTTTAGGGGCAAAATATCTTACACAGAATTTCTAATATGGAAAATATTGTAACAAAAAGGACACAAACATAAGAGGCAGCTAAGGAGTCTCTATCCCTTATCAGTGAGCACCTGCAGGGAAAACAGAAAAACAGCCAACATATCGCTATTTTCTTGAATATTACAAAGATCACAAACTGCAATGTAACTAATGTAGGATGCAGATATCCTGAAGTGCCAGCTATGCCTCTGTCCCTATAAGCAAAAGGAATTACTATGGGGAATCTTGAACCTACTCACAAAAAAGTGGGAGAAAATCATTATAAGGCTTTGCTACTATTAAGTGAATTTTCTTGTAACAGTCTTGTCACTACCAACTAGGAAACAACATTTTGCTATTATCAGGGTTGGGACTCACTCATTTGAACAAAACACATCCTGGAAAAGATTAGTAGGAGAAAAAAAGATCCATTGCAAACACTAAATAAATTAATTAGCATAAATCATGTACGTGGTATAATACAGGTGTTGTCATTAACTCAGTATGTAACCCTAGCTGTGTCTTGAGTTTCTCATCTGTATATGGGGAGAACATCACTGTCTCACTACTTCACAAAGACTTGAGGCTCAATTAGATTGCGTATTAAATAGCACTTCTCAATGATTTTAATCATTTGAGATGTGTGTCACAAGTTGTTGAACCTACCAGAATATCAAATTTTGTAAAAAATAAACAAGAATAAGAATAAAAATATGAATTTACAAATTTTCCCAAATAGCCAAATTCTGTTTATATATCACTGTAGGGCTGCTTTAAATGTGTTTCTAGTATTGTCACATTATCTCTTTTTTTTTTGTAAGAGACAGAGTCTCATTCTGTTGCCAGGCTGGAATACAGTGGTGCAATCATAGCTCACTAAAACCTGGAACTCCAGCTTCCTGAGTAGATAGGACTACAGACACATGCCACCATGCCCAGATAAGTTAAAAAAATATTTTGTAGAGACAGAGTCTCACTCAAGGCATCTGCCTGCCTTGTCCTCCCAAAGAGCTGGGATTACATGGGTGAGCCACTATGCCCGAATACATTATCTCAGTCCTTTAAAAGAGCTACTGTTGTTTCTGTTTCAGTACATTTCATCTTGTTTACAAATAATTTGGCAGTGTTTCCAAGACTTCAAGATGACGAAGGTATTTAGTAAAAGGTGGAATTAGCTGGGCACGGTGGCATGTGCCTGTAGTACTACCTACTGGGGAGGCTGGAGCTCCAAGCTGCAGTGAGCTATGATTGTGCCACTGCACTCCAGCCTGGCAACAGAGTGAAACCTTGTCTGAAAATAATAATGATAATAATAATTGAGATAATGTGACGATACTTGGAATATATTTAAACCAGTCTGAGAGAGATCTATGAATGGATTTTTGCTATTCTGGAAAATGTGTAAATTCTTATTCTTACCTTTTCTTTTTAACAAAATTTGATATTCTAGTATCAACAAATTACTTGTGACACACATCTCAAGTGATTAATAGATTAAGAAGTGTAGTTTAATATGTGATTTCATTGGGCCTATATATTCAAATACAGACCTATGTATTCAAATACAGACCAGTAAAATTCTGAGACCAAAAGTCTAAAACACCTTTTAAAACAATCTTATCTTGCAAAACAATGTGGAAAAGGAAGAATCCCTCTAGAGAGATGCAAAATGGTAAACAGATCTGTGAATTCAACTGGGTGTTTTCAAAGAAGGGAAAACACAGACAACCCTGTACATCAAGGCAGAGTGAAAAAAAGCTGCTCCTAATTAATCTTCCCATTCACTACTGAGGCAGATATTTCAGAGGCAGTGGGGGCTTTTAAGAGCAGAACAAAAGATTTTAAAGGGGGACCAGATGGAAGGTCAGAGGTTTTAATAGTCTCTGACCCATGGGTATATTTTAATTGAAAGCTCTCTGATGGACAAATGGCAAATTGAAAATCTGGAGAGTTTAGGAGGCTTCTGGAGATTCTGTGGTCCTTGGAGGAATGAGAGGGAATTCTTTCAATTTCTTTCTTTTGTGTGTTTATGCTGAATATCCCCCTGTGTTCTGGTTAGAGGAGCTTGGTTAGAGACATGGAGAATAAACAAGAAGCTGACTGCTTAATCTTGCTGAGGGTCCAAAAAGAGAAATAAAGGCATTTATTTTTCTTCTTTGTTGGTCAATCTATGTCACAAGTTAGTGTTACAAGTAGTTAGACAGGAGCAAGTCAGGAGGGGGCTCTCCCCCCACCCTCTAGAATGTCAGGTGATGGTTCAGTTCAGCATTGATCGCATTGCCTCTCTAAAAATGATTTAGCAGTGCCAGGGAGAGGCCAGCTCTTGATGGTCCACACCTGTTAACACCAAAATGTTAACTGAATGCAGACTCCAGGGAGAAGCAACTTCCTGGGCATGCGTGTTAGAGACAAAAATGGTATAGTATAATCTTCCAGGTACACTCCACCAGAAAAAGGAAGAGAGACTCAGATGGGCCTGTGTATACTTCCCTAAACACATTGCGGGTGCTCTTTTCCCAAGGGTTAGGAGGGCTGGGCAGCCCACCCTAAGAGAAGAATCATGGGAAAGAGGCAAGCGTAAAGAAGTCCTACGATCACAGTTAAGTGGGGCACTTGGCCTTCTCTCACCTTCATGTGCCTGCTTGGCTCTCTTCCAAGCACACCTTCCTTTCTTTCCTGTTATAAGGCCTTTTAAAATAAACTTCCATTCCTGCTCTGAAACTTGCCTTGGTCTCTTTTTCTGCTTTTGCCCCCAGTTGAATTCTTTCTTCTGAAGAGGCAAGGACTGAAGTTGCTGCTGACCTTATGGATAGGCTGCTGATAACTTGGAGTAACTTGGATCTCTTCCACCACTAATATTGGGAAAGGAAGAAAGCTGGAACAGCAGCTCTGTCAAGGAGTAAAGACCATACCTTGCCAGACCTCCACTTTTATTATACCTACTATACATTATTAGAGTGGAATAAGCACAACAGGCAGAGGAGGGTTTTCCACAAAGATAAAGAAGTTCGAGCTTCAGAGTCTCACATTTAAAACGGCCCTTCCAAAGACCTGAGAGGTATCCTATCAATTTGTATTTATACTTTTAATTCTGTTGTAATTAATACAAACATATATATGTTTGTATGATTATATGTGTGCACATCTATGCATACCTATGTGCATGTGTGTGTGTGTAATGGTCTTTTAATTTAGAATTACAACCTTTATTCACCAGCGAATCCTGCAATCATTAGAGGGACTTCAAGTATTTTAGGACACATGAGCTAACTCAATTTGTAAAAATTCACAAAAGGATCTCATGCTTAAAAAAAAAGCAAGTATTCTGGGCTGGGTGTGGGGGCTCACACCGGTAATCCCAGTACTTTGGGAAGCCGAGGCGGGCAGATCACCTGAGGTCAGGAGTTTGAGACCAGCTTGACCAACATGGAGAAACCCTGTCTCTATTAAAAATACAAAATTAGCTGGGTGTGGTGGTGCATGCCTGTAATCCCAGGTACTCAGGAGGCATGAGAATCGCTTGTACCTGGGAGGCGGAGGTTACAGTGAGCTGAGATCACGCCATTGCACTCCAGCCTGGGCAACAAGAGCGAAACTCCATCTCAAAAGAAAAAAGGAAAGAAAAGAAAAGAAAAAAAAACAAGTATTCTAATCAATTATATATAGTAATTCTATATAAGTATTTTCTTTTTGGTTGCTTTTTAAATTTACTTATTTATCTCTTTCGTCCTACACTGGAAATAGCTATTTCAGGAAGTAGGGAGCTAGTTTTTAAAATATGCCAAATTTATGCTAAATATATGCTCTTTGACTTCATCCATATCATAATAAGATCATTATTCCCATTTTACAGATGTGGAAAAGAGAGCTCAGAAAGGTTAAGTATTCATCCAAAGTATTAATAGGCAAAGATGGAATTCAAACTCAATTCTAACTCAAAGTCCATTTTTTTAACTGAAATGCAATATCTTTCTCTAAAGCATTAATCAGCAAACTAGGTTCCACTGGCCAAATCTGGACCACTAACTGTTTCTGTACAGTCCACAAGCTAAGAATGGTTTTTATATTTTAAATTGGTTTTAAAAATAATATTTTTGACACATCAATTATATGAAATCCAAATTTCAGTGCCCATAAGGAAAGTTTTATCAGAACTGACTGTTTATGTATTTTCTATGACTTCTTTTGTGCTGCAATAGCAGAGCTGACTAGATGTGACACAGATCAGCTGGCCTACAAAGGCTGGTCCTTGTACAGAAAAAGTTTGCTGACTCCTGCTCTAAACCTCTGTAATGACAAAATTTAGCTGAAAGTATAGTCCTCCTCAGATGAAATGTGATCCAAGATCTTTAATAAATAAAATTTTAAGAAAAAAGTCCAGTTCCTATATATAAAATATTGGACCAAAACAGAATGATAAATTTTTCTAACAACTTGTCCATATAAACTTTCGAGGATGTACTTACTATAAGAACTTCTTGATGTTCTCAGCTTTCAATTCATCCAAAAATGCTTTCATATTATGCTTTGGAGTAATGTTAGTAGCTTCATTGGAGGATTTTATAAACCACCCTGAAAAATACATCCAAAAATAGGCATGAGATACGAGCCTATAGATAGGACTTATTTTTCATTATTGTTGTATGTATTATTTGTAAAACACAAATTATCAATATTACCTCTGACATTAGGTGAGATATTTCTGAATTTTAATTTCTCTTGCCTACTTTCACTGAAAAAGAGTCATGCAAACAGATTTTTAAGTTGCAAACCAATTGCAAAATATTTCTTATCCAACTTCAATGATAGGTATTGCTGTTATTCTAAGAAATGTTTTATGAGATAATCAGGACGAAAATAAAATGACATTAATGTTTCAACTAATGGGTGTAAACGAGATGTTCTGAAAATGAAGGCAAAAAGGAGATCCACCTTCTACTTTCATAAAGTTTCTATCTTCCTCTGCTGACTCAAATAAGCATTTAATACATTTTTATAACGAATTAATTATGAATATATTTCAAATAAATAAATTATTTCCAAGTGTTGAAGGAAATTCAGACTTCTAATTTGCTCTGATTCTGAAACTAAAACAAAATGCTGTGAGAGTTTGCGTTTCCAGTGAAGTAGGCGTGAGAAATCCAAGTTCAGACAGCTACAATGAAACTACAATTTACCCAGCCTCTCTGCCAGACACCCAGTGCACGCATAGGCGGCCAGAAACAATGGATAGCTAGATCCTGCAGTCATTAGACCTTGCAGTTGGCTTTTAACCTGAAGGAGATAAGGCAAGATTCCAGGGTTTATTTAGAGAAATTACAGGATCTGGGAATAAAGTAGTTACAAAATTAGTCCCCAACCAGCTTTCATGGAGCTTTCCAATTATTAATTATTCTAGTTCTTAATCGCATGCATACAAATGCACATACATATATACATGCATATTAAAATACATGATTGCACGCAAACGGAAATAAGATTCCACCTGTGCATAAAACAGAAAGACTTGGATTAGAGTGAGGGATCAGGAAACACCACACTGAGGACGAGATGCTTGAACTGAGATCTGAAAAATGAACAGGATGAAGAGGATGGAGGCCTGTAGGGGGAGGGGAGAGCAGAGAATCCTAGTGGGTGGGGGGCGGACATCAATAAAGAACTCTTCTGTGTCAGCCACTGAGCACGGAATACAGGGATGAGAGTGAGGGCAATACCAGGAAGAATAAAATCCTTTTAAGAGATGAAGATTGTTATGAGCACAGTGTGTGGTTCAAAAATCTTTTAACAACCCCAAGGTGAAGCTAGTGGAAGATATTGAATTTGTTTAAACCCATCTGGTCCATGCCCTGTTCTTCTAAATCCCGAAAGAGGGTCAAGAATTCCGAGCAGGAGTGGACTACCTGGTGATACCTTAGACTAGTCCTGTGTATTAAAGTCCAATGAGGAGTATCTTGGTAAAAGAAGAAATAAAGTGGCGAAAATCCCAGTACTGTGCTAGGAGATTTACATGCTATATTATTTACTATTACCAATAATTTGCAGATAATATTATCCTCATCATAAAATAGGGTAACTAACGCTGAGAGGGACTCGGTAACTTGTTCAAGGCCACTAAGAAGTGGCAAAGTCAAAACTGGAATTTAATAAAAGAGTCTGAGCTTGCCTGTGTGGTTCTGCTTTTCTTAGAAAGTTGGATCAAGTCTGCAAATCAGTACCCAGGAAAAACAGCAAAAGACCCGCTGGTAAAGACCTGTCCAGATTGCTGACCTGGTTCACACAGTTCCCAAGCTTGCCTCTGTTACTTCCAAGGAAGAAAGAATGCACAGAGAGGTAAAAAAACAAACAAACAAACAAAACAAAACAAAACAAAACAAAAGCAAAAAAAAAACTTCCTCTGTCTTGCAGGGCTCCAGCACTTGGAACCTTCCTACGCCCAGTTTCAGGTTCTCTCAGTTCTACCCTCAACCTGAGTGACTGTCCTACCAGCAGCTTGTCGAGAACTCAGCCCTGCACCGTTCCCAGCTACCCTCCTCCTAACTCGAGGGGTGCTCACCCCACATTACCCCGACCCTAATCGCCGCCCCTGGGGAAGACCAGCAACAGGATCCCACTCGGCAGCTGACCCGCGAGTCCCAGCACCGCGGCACCACGGGGAAGACTCCGAGGTTTGCTCCGCGAGGCGCCCCCCTACCGAAGAGGAAGCCGAGGAGAAAGAAGCCACCCGCCAGCACCAGCGCCCCAGCGCACAGCCAGCGCGGGCGGCGCGCGGTGGCCACAGCCGAGTCGGTTTCGTGAAGGAGATTCCACATCTCGGCGCGAGCAGAGCCGGCCTCCCGGGACCCGCGCCTGTGCTGCTGCTCTACTGCGCGCCCTCCAACCACCACGGCGGGGTAAAGTCTCTCTCAATCTCACTAATGCCTCGCTTATCAGCCCTGCAGGCTGGAATTCGCTCCAGACCTGGGGTCCAGTTTCTCCACCACAGCAGTGTTTCTAGAGTGCACTGAACCAATCCGAGCGAGAGAGAGAGGCAACATCTGCCTCCAGGAGAAGGAAATCCGGCCCCTTTTGAGAGGCGCCTTAAAAAAAAAAACTTTCTTGGAAAATGTCCAGCTCTTGCTTAAATATAAAAATGAAAGGAAGAAAGAGACTCTCCTCTCTCCACTCCTATAATTATGAGGAACTTTTATTCAACTCTGAAATTCTATACAATCTCTACAATACTCTACTGAATAAAAGCAGAGCAGAAAAAGCTGCGCTTTTTTTCCATAGTCGGGAATGCTTGTCATCAGTGTAAATCACCACCGCGCCCTTTTTCCTAAAGAATATTATTGTTATTAATAAACATGTAGGGTATTATCCTCCACTTACATTACAAAACCATTTTTTAAAGCCGGGCGTGGTGGCTCACGCCTGTAATCCCAGCACTTTGGGAGGCCCAGACAGGCGGATCACGAAGTCGAGAAATCGAGACCATCCTGGCCAACATGGTGAAACCCCATCTCTACTAAAAATACAAAAATTAGCTGGGCGTGGTGGCGGGCTCCTGTAGTCCCAGCTACTCAGGAGGCTGAGGCAGGAGAATCGCTTGAACCGGGGAGGCGGAGGTTGCAGTCAGCCAAGATAGCGCCACTGCACTGGAGCCTGGTGACAGAGTGAGACTCCCTCAAGAAAGAAAGGAAGGGAAGGGAAAGGGAAGGAAGGGGAGGGGAAGGGAGGGGAGGGGAGGGGAGGAAAGAAAAGAATACTGGAACTTGTTGAAGGCAGAGACTTTATTTTCATATCCCGGCTATGTCTGGCTACTGTCTTACGTAATAGATATAAAATCAATCTTGGTTGGATTAACCAGAAGAATCATCATACAAAATTATATCCCCGCTATAAATTCTTAATAATAATAATCGTATTTCAAGGGAGAGAATAGCTACATGCTTTATAAAATAAACTGTGTTCTTATAATCCGTGAGAGAGGCCGTGCATTTGCTAGGAGTACTTTATGGAAGCACTGCTTTTAACAGAACCATAAGGTACAGGTAGGATTTGACCCAGTGGAGATGAGAAGAAACATTAGGGGCCATGGGCCAGCTGAGTAGGCAAAGGCAGAAAACTCAGAGTGTATTCAAGGAATAGCAAACAGTTTGCTTTGAGAAAGGGAGAGCACAGTATGAGTTAAGTGGAAAAAGATGGACTAGATTGTACAGTCTTGGGTGCTTCGATGTAGACTTTCTGAGCAAAGTGAAAAATTTGGGAAAATTAATTTGTCAACAATGAACCATGACAACTCCTAGATGACCTAGGGCAGGAAGGAAGGGAATTTCTTCATCTCTTTCTAACAAAATCCTGAATGTACTATATCTTTCCTAATGTTCCTATTGTCAAATCTAATCAGAGATGGCTAATAATAGTGACTAATATTTAAAGAGCACTTATTATGAGTGATGCATGTTATGTACATCACCTCATTTAATCACCATTGGGACCCTTCAAGGTTTGTTCTATTACTCTTCCCGATTTACACATGGTAAAACTGAAATTTAGCTAGATTAGGTAAGTCATTCGAAGTCACAAAGCTAAGACTTAATATAATGTCTGTCTTACTTTGTACCACTCTACAGTCTCTATTCAGCACAGGATACCTTTATGGAGTTTGCTTGTGGCACTGGAGGGAGCACTGAGTTTGGAGTCAGAAGACTCTTAACAGTCTTTGGACCTGGTCCTGTCCAAGCTGTGTACCCCTGGGTGCTAAGTATTCAACTTACCAGAATATATCTTCTCATTTGTAAAACGTGGGATCACCCAGTAACATTACCCAGTACAGTTGGTTAATGTGTTTTCTTTGAAGGTTAGATGTGATTATAAGTAAGCAAATTTCAGTTAAATATAAAAGTGATTTTTGAACAATAGAATTTATTCAATTAATAATTCAATTAATAAGACGCTATGGTGAAGAGGATGTATTTGAAGAATTCAGACAATGAATGAATATCTGTCACATATTGTAAGGCTTGTGGAACTTACAGTTTAGTGGAGAAGATAAACCTTCAACAAGTAGTTAATAACCAATATACTGAGCATTTTCTATATGGAGGACACCACACTATGTGCTTTATGTGCATTATTTCATTTAATTATCATGACTTATCCTGAAATAATTTAAAATCTCTAACAGGTGATTATGTAAACCACACTAGATTTTTCTGTTGCACCCTGTATTATTATTTACCTTTTACAGATAAGAAAACTGAGGTTTAAAGAAATTGATTAAGTTTTGCGGAGCGCTAAGGAGTTAAAAGAAAAATGAAAAATGGGCTTAGCTGGCAGGAACAGAAACAGGGGTAGAGGGGAATGAATGTTCCAAGAATAGGGTCAACTGCAAATGGCTCACTTAGCACCCAAGCATCCTCTTACAAGCACCCAGCTCACAGCCCATCTGTAACCAAGCATCCTGTCTGCAAGCATTCAGCCTAAGGAGCACCCTTATAAAACTCCACTCGAGTCCCTGCCTCTTTGCAGACAGCCTTCCCTCTGCTGTCTGGCCAGTTGCTCCCTTGCAATGTGTCTCCCCTTTTCTCTAAATAAATATGCCTTTCTAAACTCATTACTGTCTTGGTATTAAGGTAAATTCTTTTACTACCTGCACGCCAGCCTCACAGTTGTTGACCATGACAACTTTCTCAAGAAAACAATGGGCAGATGTTTGTTTTCTGAATCCCACCGATAAGCATTAGGCCATACTATACTTCCTTCTTTAACTATTGGAAAAAGATTGAAGGTGACTCTTCATGTCAGAATTTGTAGAAACAAACATGAACTAAATCAAAGTATTATACTCATCTATGAGGTGTGTTCTAGAAAAAAATTAAAATATTTTTAATTCCTCTTATTTCCAGCCTTTTACCCATATTTGCCTTTGAAAAATACTTAGTCAAGAAAAATCACTGGCTTTCTTTCTTTCTTTCTTTCTTTCTTTCTTTCTTTCTTTCTTTCTTTCTTTCTTTCTTTCTTTCTTTCTTTCTTTCATTTATTTATTGTCAAAGTCTGGCTTTGTCACCTCAAACCGCTGGGCTCAAGCAATCCTCCCACCTCAGCCTGCCAAGTAGCAGAAGCTACAAACACCAGCCACCATGCCTTACTCATTTTAAAAAAAATTTTGTAGAGACAGGGTCTTGCCATGTTGCCCAGGCTGATCGTGAACTGGCCACAAGCAATCCTCTTGTCTCAGGCTCCCAAAGCCCTGGGAATAAATACATGAGCCACTATGCCCAGCCTCCTTGGCTACTTCTTAATCTGTAGACATAGCATTCTTGGACTTTAAACTGCATGCTGAATAACAGAGCTCTAGAAGATAAAAATTCTAACTTATTTCTCCAAGTAATTTGATTTTTTAAAATTTCAGTCTTTTTAAATTGGGGGTGGTTACATAGGCATTTATATTTGTTGAATTCTTTTTGTCATATGTTAAAAATATGTGCACTTTATTGTATTTAAAGTATAAATTTTAAATTTGATATAAACAAAAAGATAGGGCCATAGATAAATAAGAATGTTCCCTAATGGTTCATCTGAATTCCATTGTTTCAAAGTAATTAATTCTCATTCTCCTTATGCTAACTTTACCTAAAGTAGGGGAATATTTGCAGAGGGAACTTTGTAGACAGATTTCTTTGCTTCGGAATTTTGAAAAATAGAAAATGTGGTAATACTGTCTCCAATGTAATGATGAAATGGAGTAGTAAATGAACATATTTTAGGAAAAAATGCTTGTAATATTTAAATAAAATATATATTTTTCCTCTGCTAATTTTTATTACTAAAATAAAATGCTTTTTTTTTTTTTGTGAGATGGAGTCTTGCTCTGTTGCCCAGCCTGGAGAGCAGTGGCACGATTTCGGCTCACTGCAACCTCCACCTCCCCGGTTCAAGATATTCTGCTGCCTAGCCTCCTGAGTAGCAGGGACTACAGGTGTGTGCCACCATGCCCAGCTAATTTTTGTATTTTTAGTAGAGGCAGAATTTCATGTTAGCCAGGATGGTCTCGATCTCTTGACCTCCTTATCTGCCTGTCTCGGCCTCCCAAAGTGCTGGAATAACAGGCGTGAGCCACCGCGCCTGGCCAAAATGCTTATTTTTATACAGAAGTATAAAAAGTAGGAAGCTTAAGTACCATTTTATAACCCTCTGTCCTTTCCCTTAACATATCACCATCCAGAGATGAATACCGTCAACATTTTGGTAGTAATTATTTGAGACATTTTTCTTCAAATACACACAGTACTTCGAATGAAAAATGAAATCATGCTATGCCTTTATTTTTAAGAAAACTTTTAATTAACATATACATACATAAAATGTACAAGTCTTAAGTGTACAGCTTGATGAGTTTTTACAAAATGAACACACTGGTCATTCAGCATCATGATCAAGAGACAGGGTATCAACAAAACTCCACAAGCCCTCATCACATCCCCTTTACATCACTATCTTTCATGCTGACGGATATCCACTATTCTCCTGTTCTAAATTCTAAATAATGTCTAGTTTTGCTGTTTTGAAATTTCTGTAATTGGAATCACGTAGTACTTGTATTTTTGTGTTTGGCTTGTTTCCCTAGGAACTATGCTTGTGAAATACATTAGTAGTGTGCTAGTAAATCAGCTCTAAAGAAGGGGGAAAGCCTTGGTTTGCAGCATTTACTGATTTCTGTGATGCAAATATTCCCAACCATGGCAGATATCAAGGAAACAACAAGAAGTTACTGAATGTGCAGTCTGAAAGGGAAGGCCACAATTGCCTTTTGTAAGCTGGCAGAAGCAGGCTGCAGCACACCACTGGACACTCCCTGTCTTTCCATGTAGCAATAGTTCATTCATTTTCAGTGTTGTAGATTTATCAGTTGTATAAATGTTTCACAATTTATTTATCTATTCTCTCCTTAGTAGATTTTTAGATTTTCTCCAGTTCTTGGCTATTAGAAATTGTACTTCAGTGAACTTTCTTGTGCATATCTTTTGGAGGTCATATGTATGTATTTTTGTGGGTATTTATCTAGAAGTCATAGGTATGTATATGTTCAGCTTTAGTAGAAACTTTTAGAGTTTTCTAAGGTTTTTATGTACTATTCATACCAGAAGAGTATGTGGAATTCCAGTTTCTCTCTGTTCTTGCCAACCAACTGGTATTTTACTGATGACAACTAAAATGGAGCAGCTTTTCATGTGGTTGCTTCTAATTTGTACTCTTCTTTTTTTGCACTGACCAAGTGTTTTGTCCCATTTTCGCTTGGGTATTCTGCCTTTTTCTTTTTTATTTGTAGGAGTTTTTGTATATATTATGACTATAATTTTATAATTTATTTTATTCAATAATGCAGAATTTTACATGAGCATATAAAAGATCTATCTTATCATTTTGTCACTTTATAGTATTTATAAAATATATTTATAATATTTTAAAGAATAGACATAAAATGAGGTATTTCATTTTTATTCATATCAAAATTCTTATCAAATAAGTGATTTACAAACATTTCATTTGACATTCTAGTTGTCTTTTCACTTTCTTGGTAATATCACATGAGTACTTAAAACAAATTTTTTTACGTGTACCTGATTCACATGAGAATTTAATAGATGCTCCCTTACTTACAATGATTTGGCTTAGGATTTTTCAACTTTATGATGCTGCATAAGTGATATACATTCAGCAAAAACCATACTTCAAGTACTCATACAATCATTTTGCTTTTCGCTTTTTGAACAGTATTCAATACATTACATGAGATACTCAACACTTTATAACAAAATAGGCTTTGTATTAGATGATTTTTTTCAACTGTTGGCTAATGTAAGTGTTCTGGGATGTTTAACTTAGGCGAGGCTAAGTTATAATGTTCAATAGGTTAGGTATATGAATCATACATACCTGATTTTAAATTTATCTCAGTCAGTAACTCGCATATGCAAATATGGGCAAATTGTTCCATTTTGCCTCATTTGTAATCTTTACCATTCCCAGAAAAGGCTCTTCTCAAAGTTACCAATGGTCTAGGTCTTTTCAAAGGCAGTGATCAGTTTTTTGATTCTGTTTTGTTTGTGTGTGTGTGTGTCAGTGGAACAACTGAACCATGTGACGTGGTATAGCCATAAGAATTCTTTAGACCCATAAGAACATCTGTTCTTACCAAACAGGAAAAACATGACAAAGGTGTAGGTTTCCATCAAGATCAGAGGTATTTTGACCTATGTAAGAAGATATTTTAAATAATATAAAAGCCAAAGAAAATTAAATCCAGTGATATAACCCTGAGTGGGTTTGCAGAGTTCTGTGGGAAAAAAATATTATAGGTGAAATCCAAACTGAAGCATGTAATGTACCTGAGCCATAAGATTTGCAAGACCATTTAGTGAGTTGATATGGTGACTACAGATAAGACTGAATATGTTCTATCACAGTAACAGATATCAGAGTCCCTGGTCAATATCTTAGGCGAATATGCATATTCCAACCATCTAGGGGAGTATCCTCAAAGACTTTGTGGTAACACTGTTGTTTCCTTTGTGGGAAAGCCTACTTTTACCCTTAAAATATTTAAAGTAAACATAGAAATATTTAGGTAATTAAACCCATTAGTTAAAATAAGTTTAAGCATATTTAGTATTTCAAAAATGTGATGCGTACTGTTCAGAAGAATATTGACTATTCAATGAAACTTTTTTTTAATGTAAGCTGTATAAATTGAGTAGTTGAGTTCACCTTTTGAGTTTTAAATTCAAAGTACTTACGGTATTTATATGCACTGTGACTGGAATATGGAAAAGAAGTTAAAATCGGGCCAGGCACACTGGCTCACTCCTACGATCCTAGCACTTTGGGAGGCTGAGGTGGGCAGATTGCTTGAGCTCAGGAGTTCCAGACCAGCCTGGGCAGCATGGTGAAACCCTATCTCTACAAAAAATAGAAACATTATCTGGGTGTGGTGGCTTGCGCCTATAGTCCCAGCTACTGGGGAGGCTGAGGTGAGAGGATAGCTCACACCTGGAAGGTTGGAGCTGCAGTAAGCCTGAGTGCAAGCCACCGCACTCCAGCCTGGGTGACAGAGTGAGACCCTGTCTCAAAAAAAAAAAAAAAAAAGAAAAAAGAAGTTAAGATTACTCATAATTATAAATTAAATATATTAGACTTACAAAAATTAATTTTAAGTACTTAGAAATGTTTGTTGGACAGACCATTGAAGTACCTAAAATATTAATAGAATACATTTATAAATGTTATTTAAAATGCTTAACAGTATTTAATTAACTATGTAAAATAAGACGAAGACTATGAGATATCCTGTAAGTTATTGTTAAAATTTATTAGATTTCTAAATAGAGTAAGATATGCCGAGACCAGCTTGGTCTGGGAGACCCTAACCCAGCGGCGCTAGAGGAATTAAAGATACACACACAGAAACATAGAGGTGTGAAGTGGGAAATCAGGGGTCTCACAGCCTTCAGAGCTGAGAGCCCTGAACAGAGATTTACCCACATATCTATTAACAGCAAGCCAGTCATTAGCATTGTTTCTATAGATATTAACTAAAAGTATCCCTTATGGGAAATGAAGGGACGGGCCAAATTAAAGGAATAGGTTGGGCTAGTTAACTGCAGCAGGAGCATATTCTTAAGGCACAGATCGCTCATGCTTTTGTTTGTGGCTTAAGAATGACTTTAAGTGGTTTTCCACCCTGGGCAGGCCAGGTGTTCCTTGCCCTCATTCCTGTAAACCCACAACCTTCCAGCTTGGGCGTTAGGGCCATTATGAACATGTTACAGTGCTGCAGAGATTTTGTTTATGGCCAGTTTTGGGGCCAGTTTATGGCCAGATTTTTGGGGGCCTGCTCCCAACAAAGATATATATATATATATGGAATATCAAGAAGCTAAAGAACAGGGTTTTTTTAAATGTAGCTTCAATCAGTTAAATATTGATTATAAAAATTAAAGTAAAACTCTGAAGAGTTTTCTGTGTATAAACCTGTCCTCAAGGATATAAAAAAACCGTCAGTGCAGACACTCAGAGAGTTTAACAAAGTTAATTGCTAATTCCTTCATTAACACTTTCTCTTCTAGACTGTATGACACCATTGTCCTCTGAAACTGACTGGCGTCCCTTCTCAGTCTCCTTTGCCAGCCCTGCCTTTTTTACCAGACCTTTAAATGTTGGAGTGTTCCAGGGCTCTCCCTTTGGCCCTGCTCTTTTCATTCTATAGTGTCTCTTGAGGTGATTTCAAACTCCAAGTACCATCTATATCTGGCCACAACTGGCTAGAGGTTCACCAAACACATTTCCCTATTGTTCTGGGAATACAGCTAGGCCGCATGTCTCAGTCTCCCTTAAAGGTAGGGGTGTCCTCATTATTGTGTAAGAACTAATAACATATGAGAGGAAGTGATGTATGCCCCTTCCAAGCTTATCCCCCTCCAAAAACCTCCTATACAATTTTCCCCTCTCTTTGTTTACCCTAATGGTTTCTGAAACACACAGAGGCTCTAGCAGAGGATGCAGAGGCCCTGGAGAATGATACAGCCAGACAGAAAGAGCCTAGATTACTGAACCATTGCTAGGAGCGATCAATAACACCCAAATAAACTTTATAGCAATAAAAGAATAAATTATTTTTTTAACTGAATGGATTGATTTGGTACAGAAGCTGGTGCACTAAACACTTCTGATCTTGACTGAGACCTGCATTTTTTTCGTATTTGTTGTCCACTTAGACTTCTCCCTTGAGATTCAGCATTAAATATGTAATTACTTAATTGAGGTCTCCAACTGGAAGTCTATTAGCTCAAGCTTCACATAGTGAAAGATAAGTTGCTCTACAACCCACTGCCCAACAAATTTACTTTGTGCCTCCCCAATACCAACCCAACCTATTGCCAGACTTCCCTCCCTGTCGTACCTGAATAAATGATGACACCACTCTTCACAGCAGTTCAGGCTAAAATCCTGTCACTCTTGACTATTTTACTCATAACCAGCAGCTACCTCTACTTAGTCCTAAAAGGGAAAAAAAGTCATCTTTTCCTTGTAAACCTTTACCTTTACTCTATTTTTCTCTGCTAAACAAAGTTTAAACTTTTTATCAAGATGTACAAATCTTTGCAAAATCTCATACAAATCTAGTCTTGCGATGAACTTCTACCTTGAAAACCTCATGCCCCTGGTCACTGTGAAATGGATGAAGAGTAGATATCTGACTCAGCTTTGGAGAATATTTTTGCCAAGGTGTTGAATTCAAGTTTAAAGTGACTGGAAGCATTACATGAGTGGCTAGCTAGCTTCTACCTCACATATGAATTGACTAACAAAGAAAGCAGGATTAACTAGAAAGCAGAATAAAGCAAGTGCCCAGAGAGGAGCAGAAACAATATTAGAAATGGAGCACTCCTTCAATTTATAATCTCCAAGATCTTGATTACTGCATTTCCTGAGACCCATTGTCATTTCTACATTTGGCTTCTGTGAGACATTCTTGTATCTTTATAATAAGCCCCTACCACCATTACTCCCTCTCTTTTTTGCTTAAGCTAACTGGAATTGGTTTATTTTATCTACCGTATAGAATCCTGAATAATTAAGCTTTCCAGCCTCATCTCTAATTCACTAGTACTCCCCGATTCCCTTCTGCCATCACATATGAAAACTGGATACATTGAACTTCAAATGGTTTCTAGAATATTGTTGGCTATTTTGTGATATTAGGATTTAAAAAAATCTGTCTCATTTGCTTGTGATATTCGCTGCCACTTAGCTTTCTGGAAATGTTTTAGTCATGCATTAGGGCTCGTCTCAAATATCACCCTTGCATTGGACTTATTTGGACCTTCTGCAGGAAGATATTTTTATTCCATCTTTTGTGCTGTCATAGTACTCTATCTACCCATCTGTAATGACATGAAGGACATGAAATCATTATTGAAAGATTTTCTTCCTCATTAGACTGACGCAAAGGCAGGAATGATGCCCAATTAATTCTGAATGCCTCAAGTATACCACACGATTTGACCTACAGTTGTATGTCTATTTGTCAAATGAGGGAAGAAATACATGAAAGAAGAAACTGTGCTAGCCCTGCCAATTATTATTTTAGCAGATATCTTATTTTAATTGTTTAAGTTTCAAATGATCTTTGTGGTATACTGGCTTATTTGTTTAGTTTATTTCTCAGCACATTCTTTGCATATTTTATTACCCATCAGCAATAAAAGACAAGAAGGGAAAGAAGGAATTGTAATAATCAGCTCTTCACACCCTTATTTCTCTTCCCTAATATTTCCCCAAGTTTTTATTTTGTTCTCACAATTAAGTCTATACTACTTAGAAAATAAGATTAAATCTTCTATGCTCCTTTGGTTAGAAATTTTTCTGGGATGGATTTAAAGTTGAACATCTATTGCAACTTAAAATTTTTGTTAAAGTTGCTCTTTCTTTCTAATAGCAATTATGTTGGGCTAGAGGATAAATAGTTGGAGATAATGGAATTTTCTCTTAGTGTTATTGCTGCCTCCATTCTTCTATATCTTGTAATGGACTCTTTGGAGATTATAATAATAATGAATACTAGCTTAATATTTATCAACCACAGAGCCGGGGGCTGAGCCAAGTGGTTTTATATACATTGCCTTATTTACTCCTTTTCTCAGCACTGTGACTATAGTACTTTCATAATACGTATAACTTTAGAGGTATTTTGAGTTACTAAGAAATAACATGAAAACAAGCTCTTTGAGCCTGTAAGATTACTAGCTAGGACAGCTTTGTAAGAGAAAGACCTCTTTACCCTTCAGGAGTAGCAGGAAAAGTATGCTATTCAACAGGATTGGCTTATCCACCTGACTCTGACATAATCATATATGAAATGATACTGATATCAGCTTTCTTTCTCCAATTGTTGATAATTTGGTTCATTATTTCTTGTCCTTCCTCATGAGTAATTTGATCTGTCCTGTTCCAGTTCTTCCCTTCCAGAGCAGGAAAGTCAAAGGAAAGGAGGAAGTTGTGTAGAAGAAAAGTTTCAAGGGGCATTCTCCGGAAGGACTGAAACATTATGCTAACCAGTCAAAACATATTTTGAGAAGTTAAATTTGGATTAGAAGTCTCTTTCTATAAATTTTTTTTCAATTTTTAAAAATTTTTATCTTTAAAAAATGTGTTTTTCAAATTTTATCAAAAAGCTCGAGCTTTGTCCTAGCTGAGCTCACAGGAAAAGGAATGTTTTCAGATCTCAGATCTGAATAAGTGGGGGAACAGCTTATCTCTGAGGGGGCAAGCTGGTAAGAGGGTCCCATTTGAAAAACTCAGAAACAAGAAAGGATTTTAAGTGGGAACCAGGAGTTTCTCTTCAAAATAATCCTTTACACTCTGTTCATTAAAATATATATATATTTTTATATATTATATATTTAAATATATATTTATTTAAAAATATATTATATTATATATAAAATATATATTATATTTTATATACATATATTATATTGTATATATAAAATATATATTATATTTTATATACATATATATTATATTGTATATATAAAATATATATTTAAAATATTATATATATATATGAATTTAAAAAGTAGTCCTTTCACAAGGTCTAAGGATTTCTCCACTGCTGATAATCACAAGAGAACAAACTGAGTCTCTAGATAGGGAGAAAGTGAGAGTTGCAACATAGTTCCAGACTCCAGAAGAAAAGGGTTCACGTGCCACGGATTGCCAAGATATCCTGTGATAACTTAGCTTCTGCTTAGAGTGCTTAGGCCTATATCTCCTATCTACTATTTTCTCTATTTCTTGGGAAAGCTGTCTGATTCCATCTGTGTTTCTATCTGGATATTTAGCACTTATCACCATTTTATTATATTATTATATATTATTCAACTGGATTTTGTGGTTTAAGAGAATGTTGGGCTAGGAATCAGACCAGTGGTTTAATGCACTGAAAAGACATAATAATGTTATAATAACTAACACTTATTGCTTATTTGCTCTGTGTTGGGACTATGCTTAATGCTTTACATGGAATGTTGAGAATTACTGAAGTGTTCAGTGAGCAACAAACTATGAAGGTAGATCTATGTGATAAAAATTTAGTTTGGTAACAGAATAAAATATGTAAAAAGAAGTTATCTGTGGTGTATGTGGGATCATTGGTGTGCTTTGTCCTCAGACATAAGTGTAGGAGGGGGCATTTCAGATGAATGTTGCTATTTCTACAAGTCAAGCCAAGTAATTCAATAGAATAAAAATTTGCCATTATTAATTATTATTACTATTAATTTTGTCAAGCCTGGGCAGCTATATGTCATACCTTCAGTAAAAAGGAATATCCATAGCCTAGACATTGAAACTAATATATTTATTGTTCCAGATGCTAACACAGCTGAGTGATGCCCTTCATTCAGGAGCTCCTGGGGAACACAGTGCTATATAATACAGTGAAATGGGAATCAGTGAGAAGAGGAAAAATAACTTCATCAGGAATGTGAATCCAAGATTCTTAAAAGGGCAGAGTACTTTTCTCATTCATTGTTTTTTTTTTTACCTCCATTCAATTAAAGAGACTTGGGGTCATCGATGTTTCTTTTCTCTTCCATTTCATTTTTGACTTAATACACAAATGGAGTATGTTATTGACAGAGGGTCCCCCTTGTGGTCCAGCGTAAACTCCGTCATTCAATCAAAACTGCACACCAAAAACCTATATGATTCATAAGCAAGTGGCATAGGTGTTTGCGCTACGTCATATTTCAACAGGTAGCATACCTCCAATTTATTTGTTTATTTTTGAGTTGCTTAGTTTGTATTTGCATTTTCTGGGTACTAGATTCCTGACAAGAATCAGGTAAGGCTGTCATAGCCCAATATATGGAGTTCTATAACTCAGCACTTTAAAGAAAATAGTCCTCAGGACTTTAAAAAAGTTTTTAAAAGGCAAATTAAATAATTATTTGTATTTTAAAAAAATCTTTGTGCTTTTAAAATGCTATTAATTTAAACATGATTATGGACAATAGATTGCTAGTGATGAATGATGGGGTTTTGGACGCACCAGACATTGTACAGCTTCCCTTGGGGCAAGCATGGTGATCGATGTGGGTTTCGCAAGCTGGAGTCATTCAACTTGGTGTTCTAGTCTTGTATATATACTTAATTTCATATTTAAATTGTACAATTATGTTATTTTGACTATAGTCAACCTGTTGTGCTATTAAATACTAGATATTATTTATTCTTTCTAACTATTTTTTGTACCCAATAACCATCCCCACCTCACCCTCAAAGCCTACACTACCCTTTGCAGCCTATGGTAACTATCCTTCTGCTCTCTACCTCCATGCGTTCTATTGTTTTGATTTTTACATCCCACAAATAAATGAGAACATGAAATGTTTGTCTTTCTGTGCCTGGATTATTTCACCTAAAATAAAATGTTTGTCTTTCACCTAAAATAATAAAATGTTTGTCTTTCTGTGCCTGGATTATTTCTCCTCAAATAATGATCTCCAGGTCCATTCATGTTGTTGCAAATTTTTTTCATGTGTCTTTACCACCTGTTCTGGTACCATACCCATCTGTGTTCAATTTTTTTTGTACTGAAAAGTATATATATATATCTCCAATTCCCTGTGATACCGAGGAAAGACAGCATACACACACACACACACACACACACATATGTATATGTATATATATACATATGCATATACAGCTACTGAGTGACAAGTGGTATGGTATAATATCACCTGTCACTCAGTAGCTATCATATATATATATATAAAACAAGGAATTGTTTCCAGGAACCCCAAAGATACTGAAATCTGAGGACGCTCAGCTCAAGTCCCTTATGTAAAATGGCATAGTTATATTGTTTCTCTGACTTTTGGCTAAGATGAAGTTTAGTATCTGTTCTTATCAGTTTAAAGTGGCATAGTATTTGCATATAGCCTATGCATCCTCTATACATTAAGTAATCTCTAGATTACTTATACTACTTAATACAACACACATGCTATGTAAATAGTTGTTATACTATATTTTTTATTTGTATTATTTTTTATTATTGTATTGTTATATTTTAATGTTTGTTATTTCCAAACGTTTTTAATTCATGGTTGGTTGAATCTGTGAATGCAAAATCCACGGATATGGAGGGTCGAATGTACACACACACACACACACACACACACACATTCATAATTTTCAAAGTCCACAGTAAGTATCAAGCAGTGTGTGTTTACCTGCATGTGTAGGTGAATTAACTCTGTTCCTGAGGCGGTTTTATTTCCCTCCAATGGATTCTACTTTATTTCTTAATGTCAAGAAATGGCTTATCTCTATCTGAGTACCTGTACTTCCTTTCTCTGTCTCTCTCTGCTGTCTCTGTCTCTATCTTAGTGTTTGTGTGGGTGAGAGATCACCATTCTGCCTGCACCACTCAAAATGCAGCTCTCCTAACTAAAAGATTGTATTATTCACGGAGGTCTCAAACGAAAATGTTTCTCCCATTGGACAGAAATGAGAATGCCCTGGCAACCATATTAGGGAAACATGATAATTTACCACATCCTCTCTGTATTCTTGTTCATTTATTTTTCATTCTGTCGTACTCTGTACCTTTTTATAGGCCACTTCAATTTGTTTTTTACTAGAGCTGGAAACATGTTACTTCTCCTATGAACCAGCCAAGTTTTTATGTGCTTATTATGGATTCAACATACCCCTCTTCTCAATTCACAACAAATGGCTCCTCTCTATCTGAGATAGAGCAAGTTGAAGTCCTATCCCTCCAGTACTGTACTTTACAATGTGAAGGCTTGGGACAGATTCTCCTCCACAGCCCCCAGAGGGAACCTATCCCACTGACACCTTAATTTTATACTTCTAGCATCTATAACTGTGAGACAACAAATTTTTGTTGTTTTCAGCCACTAAGTTTGAGGTGATTTGTTCTGGCAGTCCTAGGAAACTAATACAATGCCTCTATTAAAACAATTCATCTTGTTTACTCCAGTGTTTTTTTTTTTGGCATATCTGTTTCAGACTGGACTATGTACTCATCAAGAGAAATGACCTTATCTGTCATATACTTCACTCTGTGGTATTTATGTAAGGGATATAAAATGTAAGACATGATATGCTATGTAAGATATGATACCTGCCTTAAAATCCAGTGTTTATTCATCAAATTGTTACTGAGTGCCTGATGTAATTATGTAACAGCCACTCCTCAGGATACTGGTCATACAACGGTGAGCCCAGAGATGATGGTTTCCTCTCTCGTGGAGCAAACAGTCTGGAAAATGGTGGGGTGGGGGGACATTAAAAACACAAACAAAAAGAAAATAATTGCACAAAAATAATTGTCAAGCAGGAGAAAAACATCTGTATGTAAAGAAGAGGAAGCAGCGATCATTCTTGGCCATGGGATGATCTGGAAAGGCTTCTAAAAGGGGCAGTAGATTTTAATAAACAGCACACACAGAGAGACTATTTCCTTGTGAAGAAGAGAATGGGGAAGGACCCCTGGGTCATTAGTAGTTCATTTGCCTGGAGCATAGAGAAATAGAGTAAGTAGAGTAATCATGGCAATAGTTTTTTGGGTGTTTTTAAAATGCTTACTAAGTATCAGCCTTACATTATCTCATTTACCTTCACATTTTTTTGACGTAGGCTGTTGTCATCCCAATTTACAGATAAGGTTGTTGAGTTTTCCTTAATCGTAGCTTTATACTTATTATTATACCATACCACCTGTCACTCAGATTTATTCCTAGGGATAACTATAATTTGAAATGAGATCTCTGACTCCACAGGCTCTGTTTTTTTTTCATTCCACAACAGAGAATTATTCCCTAAAATGCAGAGTCAGAAAGATAGGTTGCAGGCAGATTTTAGAATACTTCTATTACTAATCAAAGACTATAAAAATATACTTTACAGTAAACAAAGGGGAAAATCAAATGTCTGCAAAGTAGTAACATGATATACATGCTAAAACATTGAAATAGGAAAAAATATTGGGGGAAGTAGGATTCCTTAGCACTTACTGAAGGAAAGATCCAGATAAGAAATGTAAATGTACTAGGCTTGGTGGCTCACACCTGTAATCCCTGCACTTTGGGAGGCCGCAGCTGGTAGATCACTTGAGGCCAGGAATTTGACACCAGCAGGGCCAACATGGTGAAATCCCATCTGTATTAAAAATATAAAAATTAGCCAGGCCTAGTTACATGCACCTGTAATCCCAGCTACTCAGGAGGCTGAGGCAGGAGAATCGTTTGAACCCGGGAGGTGGAGGTTGCAGTGAGCCGAGATTGTGCCACTGCACTTCAGCCTGGTCGACAAAGTAAGACTCTGTCTCAAAAACACACACACACAAAAAGCAAAACAAGTTATGTAAATCCATCATCAGAATGACTTAGTGTGAACAAGAAGCATCTGAGTTGTCTGCTAAAAATTCCTGCTTCTTCGCAATGAGAATATTCAAAAATCTCGCTTCAAGGTGGTGGATAAATTACCTCAATTTGGTCATTACACAATGCACCCATTTAAACACACATCGAAACATCAGGTTGTACCCTATAAGTATGCACAATTATTATGTGTCAATTATATTTTTGTTTAAATTCTACTTCCAGTCACCACTCCAGAGGACTGCTGACGTGAGGAGGTTTTAGACAATATTCTGTTCTGGCCTAGCCAAGGGATTAGGGAGGCAATGTAAGCCAAACTTCCTTTTTCACAGCAAGCTCTTGGACTGCAGGGATCAAATTTCATTCATCTTTTTATTCCCTTTTCCCCTAGGTCCCAGACCCTTGCTCATAATAAGCATGTGGATGACTCGAATTGAATTGTAAGAGTGAAAGACTCTTGTGAAAGAAGAATCATTAAGACTGTGTGAATTTAAAAAGAGAACGAATTCAAGAGAACATGCTTTGTAAGTCTGGGAAAGAGAACGTGCACGGTACAAGGGCGGTAACATGTGACCAAGAAGAGAAGAGTAAAATGAACTCACTAGCCAATTACATTCGAGTGATCTGCTACTTAGAATGCATGACTGAACTCCTGGGTGGTCTTATAGCCACTGCGTACTTTTCCTCTGCCAGACTTTGAAAGCACTTTGAAGACAGGGTGTCATCTAAAGGTTGGTGATTTGTATTGAGTTCCCCCACCCTAGAACTGGCAGGCACCATTCTCTCTGATAAATATCACAGGAAGAAATCAGAGAATTGTATTTTCCTTTGAAATAGTTGGAAGATATATAGAAAAGCCTAATGTGGTTTTCTCAGTTGGAAATTTTCCAGGACATAAGGATGTGAATGCCCATCTTCTCAAAAGACATGCTGTAGATGCCAACAGATCTGAGCAGCAGGATGGAATGTATCGAAATAAATGGCAGGATTATCCAGTGCTGGAGCCCTTATTTAAGAAGCCCATATTAATTGAGCTGAATATAGTTGGCATTCCAACAAATATATGCTGAAAGGAAAATAGCAAAAACAACTTAGGGGATATGTTCTCTCACGTGGTTGATAATTTGTTTCCTAACATTCTGTCACTGAACCTGGCTGGATATGGAAAAGTCCATTCTACTTTCATTCTACTTCAGCTACTCAGATCTTAGTTGTACCCTAGAACTTTTCATGATGGATAATTGTACCCTTCTATACTTTTCATTTAAACCATGTCACTCACCAATAATTACCTACCATTTTCAGCTAATTGCCTCTAGTGCCTTGGCTCCAAACATTCTTTGACCCAACTGTATTTACACTTTTCCTCATTCCTTTATACCCCTAAAATTTGCAGTCCCCTTCTTACTTAGCTAATATTTTACAATCTCTCCCACAAACACCCTCAAATGGCTTTGCATCTCTCTTCTTCATTGTGTTACTTTTGTAAAATCCAGACCCTATTTAAATACAATGTTCCATGTATTCTGTGCCTGAACCTATGCAGCTGATGTAGCTGAAGCAAAGCAGGGGTATTGGTTGGCCTCACTTTAAATTCTTCATCCTTAATTGGAAATGTATCTTCATACTCCCTGGTAATCCTACTTTATATATTTTTACACCTATTACTTTTCCTGAACTTCCAATACTGCCTCGCTCCTCTTCATTTTGGTTTATGAACCTGGCTTCCTATTTCACTGGGGAAATAGAAGTAATCAGTAATAACTCGCACGTCTTTTCACCACCACATCGACCAGCCCATCCTATCTGTACATGTTTATTGTCTCTTCCTTCCTTTCTTACTTGAGCTGTACATGCTCCTATCTGATCACACCTATGCACAGGGTCTCATTCTCTTTCACTTCAGCAATTAGACTCTTCCTTAAAAAATAATTTTCTGTCTCAACTTGATTATTCCCACAATAGTGCAAACATGTTGTAATATCTTTTTTCTTTAAAATAACCCATTTTCTTTAAAATAATTTCCAACTATCAACTGATTCCTCTGTTTCTCTCTCTATAAAATTCCTTAAAAGAGATTTCTTATGTTGCTTCTCTCCCTTTTCTCTCTTCCCATTCTCATTTGAATCTACTTCAAAAGGTTTACTATACTAAGAAAACAAGCTCTTCTCAAGATTACCTATGGTTTCCATAGTGCTAAATTCAGTGATAAATTTAGTCTTTGTCTTAATCAGCCTCTCGGTATCTTTGATTCAGAGGGTAATTCTCTCCTTCTTGAAATACTTTCTTCACTTGACTTCTGGGAGCTACTCTCAGTTTTCCTATTCACTTTAGATGTTCCCCTAAGCTCTGTTTACTCATTTATCTCATCCCTCCACTGGAGTTCACTAGGGTTCAGTCCTTAGATCCTTTCTCTATCAGCATTCACTCACAAGGTGATATCACATAGCCTTTGAATAGTATCTGAATATTGATGATGGTCAAATGTTATTTCCCTTGAACTCGAGATTCTATTCAACTCCTACTAAACATCCTTACCTGAACAATTAATAGACACATCAAATTTAATATATCCTAAGTTGGACTCTTGATGTCCTGCTCTTCCAAACCTGGTTCTCTTGCACATTTTCTATCTCATTAAATGTCTATTTCTTCCCATTGCCTAAGCAATTCAGAGTCACTCTCGAAGTGACTTTTCTAATTTCCCCATGCATATTTGATCGATCAGTCGTGTTAATTATGCCTTTTAAATGTGTCAAGAATCTAATTACTCCTCTTCCACTGCTAACTTTTCTTGAAATGACCATCAGCTGTCTCTTGGATAAATACGATGCTTTACTTTTGGTATTTCTGATTCAGCATTTGCTTCCTTATTATCCGTTCTGAACATAGCATCTGGGTTAGAGGTCTTGTCACCTCTGTGTCCCAAAGTCTACAGTGATTCCCACCACCCTCCTTATCAAGGCTAACAAGGCCCTACATGATCTGGTCCCCACTTCTTTTCAGACCTAATTTCTTCTACTTTTTTCAGGCTTCACTCATTAGCCACACTGTCCTCCTTGGTGTGCTTCCACTCTTAGCACATTCCCAGCAAAGGCCTTTTGTTCTGATTGTCCCTCTTCTTGGAGCTCTCTTCCTTAAATATCTGCAAAATATCTGCTTATCTTTTTCCATCACATCCTTCAGGCCTTTCCTCAAATGCCAATTTCTCAGGGAGGTTTTCCCTGGCAACCGTATCTAAGATTACGCTTTCCTACCCCAGCACTATCAAACCCCATCCCTGCACAGTTCTCTTCCTATTTACAGCCATCTAACCTACTACATATGTGACATATCTATGTATTGACTGTTTTCCCCTCTAGAATATATGTACAATGAGGGCATGGATTTTGTTCACTGTTTCATTTCCAGCACCGTAAAGAGAACCTGATATATAGAAGACCCTATATAAGTAACAATTGAATACTTAAAGGCAGGCAACTCTAGGGTTTCTTCCCCAGACCTCTGTACCAGAAATTGAAATAGGAAATAGAAGATATTGAGGATACTAGGTATTCTCTACCTGTGTTATTGACCAGAAGCAGCAACATATAATTTTTCTTTGCAAGGACTAAGCTAATCAATAACGAAGCAATGTCACTGAAAATCACACTCATGGAATGAATTTTAATAAAAATATATTTTTGGATGCTTTTTGTTATATTTGAGAGAATGAATTGAGAATTTTTGTTTTTTTTAAGTCAGGTGGACTCCTAATAACTTTTAAAGGCTAAGTTAAAAAGGTCTCATTTTCTCTAAAGCATTTCTGACTTACCAGTCAGTCAGTCACTCTTTCCTCAGCACATTTTATGTGTGTCTTAACTCTAGCTCTTATCACATTATTTCATAGTTTGCTGTATTGGGTTAATTCCACAACTAGGCTTTGTGTCCCGAGGAGCTACAACTGCTTCTGTCACATAGTAGGTTCTCATAAATCTTTGTTGAATAGCTTATGTAGACTCAGATGCCACAAGATTGGCAATAATTCACTGTTATTACAAAAAGAGAATTAATATAAAACATCACCTTGTTTGTAGATATATTAAAGAAGAAGGGAACCATGAAACACAATCTTAAGGAATTACAATGTGTCCTCTAAGTTTTGGATTTAATTGTCCTACCTAAATCTTAACAAACAAAAGCACATTGATACTTTATTTTTCTTCTTCTTATGTTTTGTATTACCCTGACTTAGTCACCAGATGTCACTATGAGACTGTTGTCCAGGTCACTCTTTCTTTAAACAAGAAGGAAACAAAGACCTCACATGAGGCAAAACCTATGGAGCAAAAACACATGGAGCAAAACCTATGTCCTTGCGGAAACACCTTATAAATGTTAAGGCTAGTAGCTTTAGGGTTTTATTTTAGAGTGGATTTTGGCATGGCTTAGTGTGTAAGAAAGAGCGCTGGACTGGGAATTGAGACTCCTGTATTTTAGCCCCAATTCTGTCATTTTAAAATATTTGACCACCTGGTAGATTTCTTTACCTTTCTGGGCTGTGAAAGATATCCTCATCTGAAAATAAGGGTGGCCAAAGAACCTCACAATCTTCAAGCTCTAACATCCAGTGATTCTATTCCCTTCTTTTGCTAATTTCTTGGAAAGTAGCCAGAAGACTTTACTACCAGGGATGATTTGGGAAGTCAGCATAAGTGAGAATAATGAGTACCTATTGCATACTCTATTTTATTCTAAACACAGTCTCTGCTAGGCTTTGACCTACCATGAAGTGGGGAAACCTTTATGGTCACTCTCACTTCTACACAGTCTCTGTATATTGGTGGTACACATTGTGTGAAATACCTTCTCCATCTAGAGATTGCTTCATTTTTTTATTATAAAAACATTACACAAAATTTGTTTAAGGTGTCATGTAAATATACTTTTAGTGACTGTCATTTTTGGGGTTTCACTCTCAGAGGAAAATGAATTATTTATATTAGGTATTTCTGAATACCTAATCTGAATATGCTTGCTTTTTTAAAAAAACCAGTTCTCTGCAATGTTCACCCATCCACCTACCTAAAATATGCACCACTTAATCTTTTATTCATGCTGCTCCACAGCGTGCCGTAATCATAACCCACTTGTGGTAGACTCAGACACTGTTGTTGTATGAATGCCTCATTTATCTCTTTCTGTGCATATTTATGTTTCAGTTAGCTATTTTCATTGCATGTAGTTCCTTCCATAGTGTGGGTTCTTGTATTCTCAGCCATTTTCTTTGTCATTATTTTACTCAGAGTCGAACCACAGAGTAAATATTTTTGAGAACAGTCTGAATTATATGGAGCCTTTAACACTTAGAGGCACTATCCTAATACCCAAATTATTATATAGAACAAGCTGACACGTGCTTTTATAGAATTATCTAATCCTGAAACATATCTTGAGTATTTACTAAATGCTCCACACTGTTGATGTTCTGGGATTGAAACAACAGATAACACAGTGTGGCACAGAGAGAGCAGGAACAAGCATTTACACAGCAAAGTGGTGACCGTTACAGTGGAGTTGTGTGCAACACACTGTGGGAGGCTAGAGGAAGGCAGCCAGGCTTCACAGAGGATGGTATAGACTTACCCTTGAGCTGACCTTCAAAAATAGTCAGGAAGGTTTGCATGGGAGGTTGGGAGTCTATTCCAGGCAGAGGGGGCAGCAGAGGCAAAGAAAAAGAGGTTTGAGACTACATATTAAACTGGAGAAGTGCATATGGTCTATACTTACTGCTTAGCAACAGAGTAGAATGATTTGCTGGGAGGTGAGACTGAATTAATATTAATCTATTGATTTCTCTTTGAAATTTACAAAATTTTCTCCTCTCCCCTTCCTTCTTTATGTATTTTGGTTCTACTGGAGTCAGTTCAGGTGTTTCTTAGGAAATTGTTCTTTATGATCTCTGTGAGTTGACATTAAAATATACATTATGTATGTTCTGTGACACATTGTTACTCTTATATGTTAGTTGTTTAACACCTATATGGGCTCTTGCCTCAGCTAAACAGTGAGTTCTCAAAGGTCACATTCATGATTAGCAGCCACACTGAATTATTATTACATGGAAGAATGGAAGGCAGGAATGAAGAAAGGAATGGTGGGAGGGAGGAAAGAAGGTAGGAAGGAAAAAGAAACAAGGGGCGGAATAAGCGCTTGTAGTGGAAGATGGAATTAATGTTTTTCAAGAGTATCTTAGTTTCTAAGATGCTCAAATACAATGAGAAATATATTTGAGCATCCTGAATTGTGTGAAAGTTTTAAAATAATATTTGTCAATGTTCAGGAGAAAAATTCTTCTGAACATGTGAAACAAGAGGAAGACCGAAGGTAGATATGCATAGAACCCTATCCACAGTTACTGAGTATGTTTAGTAGGGTAGAAATTGAGAAAAACTGCCTTATAGAGAGCTCAGCTCCAAAATGACTGGCATGAGATTTAAACTCAGCATGTATAGGTTACACAAAATAATATCACATTCCAATCATAGATATCATAGACCCTAAAAGGGCAATAGTGCAAGATCTTTCATTGCACTGTCTTGATATTTCTAAGTCAAACTGCTTTTTGTTTCAAGGAAACAAAACCTCTTGAGGAAGAAACTTCTGAGATGGCAGCTGCCAGAGATATACAAGCTGCCCAAGTGAGGGGTTAGGAAAAGCTGAAGCCAGGCAGACATGACTGTGGGTCCAGGCTCTACCTCTTGGTAGCTATGTGACCATCAGCAAGGTGCTGTGTTTCTTCTACCCAAGCTTCAGTTTCCTTGCTTATTAAATACAATGAGTTTTTTTTTTTCTTTCTGACAGAGGGGGCAGCAAAGACAAAAAATTGATTACAGGACAGGGAGTATCTGAAAAACTCGGCATTGTGCCTGACACGTAAAGTGCTCGGAAAATAACAGCCATAATTATTGTTGACAAGTCTGGAGCAGGAAAACAAACAAGCATACAAAACACAAGATTAGACTGTAGGTTAAAAAATACAAGGTCTAGTTCTGGCTCTGTCATTTATTTGCTATGTAACCTCAGTCACATGTGTTTTTTTCCCTCATCTATACAATTGGAGAATTCTACCTATTGTACCTACTTGGCAGCATCATATGAGATTATATAGATATAGATATATATAGCACTATATGGTCTAAGGGATCATTTTTATTACAGGCTTGATTTGAAAAACGCAGAGTTCCACTCCCTCAAGATGAAGCACCCGTGCCTTGTTCTGCCTGACAGCCTAGGACTGATGCTACTTGCAGAATTTTAGTGCTCAGCCCCTTCAGAGATTGCCCCAGCTACAGAGCGGCCATAACCAACCACACACCCTCCAGAGGGTTGCCTGGATAAAATGACCACTCCATATAGAAGGCCTGGCCAAACTGGCCCGAGTCTGGACAACAATGAAGGGCCCTGATAGCTTCAGAGCTCCCCATAGGGTTGGTGGAGGCTGCTATTGAGATTACTTTGCCCATCAACTTCTCCCTGCTGCTTCCTGCTTCCTTCCCCTTCCTTCAGCAGATGTGGACTCCATGGACACTCCTTAATAAACATCTTGCAAGCTAAACTGCTTCTCAGAATCTGCTTCCCAGAGAACTAATCCCGTATAATCCCACTGATACATTTGGTTACATATGTACATATTGAATAAAGTTTATTTTACCTAGCAATTTGGTAAAATATTAGCTCGTTACAAATTTCCAAAGTGCACAGTGCTTGCAACTTTTATCTCATATTGTATGACTTTGAAAGTTGTTGAGAGCATATTTTATAAATAATCTCGCTTTGGGTGTTTTAGTAGTGTATGTGTAGCGCATAAATTAGGCAGCATTCTCATACAACACATATATCAGGTACTACAGGGACAGAGGAAGATCAGCGTGTATCAACAAAAACCACACATTTTATGATTAACACAGAGGATGATATGGAAAGTTGATGTATACCCTCCCCTAAGTTTTTCCCCGACTCTACAACCATGCTGTGATGTTCCTGGCTTTGTGTGAGTTAACTTACTTGGGAGTACAAGAAAAGAAAAGAGGCTTTTCAGCGTAGGATTATTTGTTTATTTGTTTGTTTGTTTAAGAGATAAGATCTCACTCTGTTGCCCGGGCTTGAGTGCAGTGACGCAATCATAGTTCACTGCAGCCTTGAACTCCTGGGCACAAGCAATCCAATTCTCCCATCTTGGCCTCCTGAGTAGCTGGAACTAAAGGCATGTGCCACCATGCCCATCATGTTGTTTTTCCTTGTTAAAACCACTGAAGCCATCTTCCTGGTACCCATGATGAGATCGCTTCTCTACTTGTCTTCTTGTTGCTTATTCTATCATCTCTGCACCTCCTGCTTTCCAAGAATTCACTGGCTACTAGATAGCCTTCTGCTATTTTCTAATATCCTCATGTGCTCTCAAAATATGTGATACATAAGCAAAACACTGTTAACCATCACGAAAGTTTAGATTAACAGCTTCTTTCTTTTTTGTAGTTGCAATCTTTCCTCTCTCCTTCTACCATTTTTTATTTGTTTTAATGAAAAGAGGCTTCTAAGCACTGATTTTCACTACCTCTTCAAGAGCCACAAAAATCAAAAGTACTAAGAGTAATATTTTTAACTTTAGGAGCCCAGGCAATCTTTCAAATAGATGACAAGCTTACGGTCAATAAAGAGGAATTTTAACCACATATCTCATGGATACAATGATGAAACTTGTCCCTTTTTACAGTCAGGAAGTAGAATCACCAGACCTCAAGTCAAAGTCCACATTTAAATCCCAAACACTCAGCTTCCTATGACGCATGCAGACATCCTTGCCCTTTGAACATACTACATCCCGTAATAGCTGTTTTGCAGTGAATGCACATTTCCTGGAGAATCGAGGTTGCCTCCTGGCCTTCCAATGTCCTGTGCTTCACTTCTATAATAGGTACATATTCATGGGCAAAGCTGTTGCCTTTGTGTTTTCACTGTTCAAGCTCAGGCAGGAACATAAGTTATCAGGATAGCATCCTAAAAGCACTTCTATTTCTTCCTGTTGGCAGTACATGCCAGAAAACTAAATTTTATGTTGTTTCATCTTATTTTTGGCAAGTTCATTCTGCATAAGATATATCTTAACAGTAGCCAAGCACAAGCAATCAAACTCAGACTTATTATTTTCTTAATCCCGTGTCACCCCTCGATATGGCCATTTTGGCCAGATTTACCCTGTGATTAAATGTCTACTTGTGTTCTGTTTATTGGTTATTGTCTCAGTACATCTGCAATTTTAAGATTCATTACATTATCTTTTGCTCATCTCTCCTATTCACCTGTCCGCAGTCTGTGTTTCACCTTGCCCTCACCTCCTGTCATCAGCCTGTCTCCCAAAAAAGGCCCCACCATTGTTCTGTTGCAAAATTCTATTTGGTCAGCTGCCTCATTACCTCTATTCAGGTCTTTTTCCTCTCCCCATATGCTCCAGTTCTCTGTTCCTGGATATGCTGGGTATAACTGGCACTCACTACTGAGTACAGGTACCCCTTATATGTGAGAGTCCTGGAGGCACCCAACCAATCTCACTATGGTCCTCAGTCAATGACTGAAATTGAGCTGCATTTCTTCATGGAGAAGTGGGAAAAATACCTCTTTCCCAATATTAGCATGGCTGTATTCCACACAAGCATAAGACATTTATGTTTGTGTCTCCATCATTTACAAAGTTTATAGTGAAGTAGCTCTTTTAGGTTATAACTTACACTGCTTACTTTCCCCACCACCTATTAGCAAAAGAATGAGCCCATGGGACATTTGAATAGGAGACCAATCTGAGTGAAACTTATCTACATGCAGATAGGTAACATCCAAAATGCTTCTTGGTAAAGCCAAATGCTGATGAACAGTGGGCCAAACTCATTAGTTTAGCTCTATTCCCCGCTACCCAGCTTTAATGAGGTATAACTGACAAGTAAAACTTACATATATTTAAGATGTACAACATGATAATTTGATATATATACATGGTAAAATGGTGACCACAATCAAGTTAATTAACATATCCATCACCTCACATAGTTACCATTTTTTCTTTGTGGTACAAACACTTAAGATCTACTCTCTTAGCAAATATAAAGTATACAATACAGTATTAATAACTACAGTCTCTATGTTGTCCATTACATCCCCAGAACTTATTCATCTAATAACTGAAAGTTTATACTATATGATCTTAGCTCTTTCTTTTATGGTAAGTCTCAGACTAGCCCTACTCCTGGGGGAGACTAGATGAAATTCCTGAGCAGAAAGTTGGAGTAGAGCAGGTAGATCTGAATAGAAATTTAGCATGAAAGAAGTCATAGGGGCCTAAGAAGAAGGAGCATTGGGGAAGGGGACATGGTATGAGGACAGAAGCAGAATTATCATCAAGAGACTGCAAAGCACATATCAATCATAACTGCCAGGCAGCCATATGGATGCCAGAATAAGGCTCGTAGTCCTATTGTGGCTATTTACATAGGCATTTCTGCACATAACCTCTGTCAAGGGTACATGTTGGCTGTTCTCAGCACCATCGGACAGAACAAACCATTACCACTTGCCTCTCCATGTGTGAGGACCTCCCAGCAGAAATACTGCTTACCTGTGCCATGAGATTTGTTTAGTACCCCTGTGCTGTCTGGGTACCTTCCTCTAAGCTTCCCAGGAAATTCCTAAGGTCTGGAAACACAGGATAGTGTTCTTGACCAGTAGTGGTTTCAAAGAGAATTTTCATTCCACTTCCAGCCTGTGCATTTGGGTAGAACAAGACCACAATAAAATGAATTCCATTACACAAATATTACTTACAAATTCTGATCCTTCCTGAAGTGACTTGGAATATTGTATTTCTCTTTTGATTTGGAAAGAGTTGATATTTCTTCTCACCAACCTGCACTAAGTTCTGTTTGAACTGAGAATCTTTTACATTGGCTTTCTTTTTTTTTTCCCAAAATCTGAAGTAGTGTTTCTTTTGACCTTACCGTTACTGAAAGGAGAACAATATGGCTATAAAAGTAAGTGCAGCGTCTCTAAGAAATCCAAGTGTTTAGCAAATCAAATACAACATAAGGTACATTAAGGTTTTATTAAAATCTCATTTATTGGCAAGAGTTGCTTCTTTCTGAAGAGTTCTAGTCTGCCTCTCAAGAATTAATCTGATGTTTTCCATTTGTTTTATAGTATGTTTTTTACCCTTTTCCTCACACAGGTCTCATACCTTTATGAAACTTTTCCCTTATGACTCTACTTCAGTGTCGTCTTCCCAGAGAACCCAACCAGTGACATCCTGAAAGCATATGCTGTGAGCTTTGTGAGAGCTGGGACTTAACGGCGGTTTTGTTCAGGGCTCTGTTTCCAGTGTCGTGCTCCGCAGACGACATAAAGCAGGCACTGGATAGGAATGTTGAATGTTAAATGAATGAACAGCATCCATGCTTATGGTCAACAAACCTAGTGGCCTCTGAGTGTCATGATGAAGAGCACTTGTTCTGGAATCTGACCATATGAGTTCAGTTTGGCTCAGTTGCTTCCCAGTTTGTAACATTGGATGAGTTCATTAACTTTTCTACTCTTTTATTTTTTCATGTGTAAAATCAGAACCATAGTTGTATCCACAAGATAGTTTTTCTTAAATTTGTATTGTTTTATCTTGTTTTTGAAGATTAAGTGAATTGTGAAGCACTTAGGATAACACTGAGCAGATAGATGTTCTCAATTAAAGTCAATGATACTACACAGTATGAATGTTTATGGTGGCAAAGTGCTCACTATCTGATTAGGTGATTCTTACTAGTTTTAGAAGTTTTCATTTCTAGAATGACTTTTCTGCCCTCTCCATCAATATACTTTATTATAGAAGTCTGTTCATTCTCTTTAAAAAACTTAGTAGTCTCTGAAATAAACTTGCTTTACAAAATCTATACGGAGGGAAATTTTCCATCTTGTTTAGTGTTATATCCCCACTTCAAGAAGAATAATTAACATGTAATAGTTGTTTAATACATATTTATTTAAAGAATGCATTGAGTAAATTGTTTAAGTTTTATTTTTATGTTATGGCAAATTTGACCTCATAATTGTATCTATCAGTTCTATCTCAGCTCCGTGGAGCAAAAGATAATGGCTTTAATGCCTTTTATTTTCTTTTTAGCTATTCACATTTTTATTTGTTATTTTTAAAAATTATTCTTAATTTTTTGGTGTACATAGTAGATGTATATATCCTTATGGGGTACATGTGATATTTTGATACTGGCTTTAATGCCTTTTCTATATGACAATTTATTGGACATTTGAAGAAACGATCTTTCCTTTATTTCTCTATTCTTTACGTTTTCCTTATGATTGTGTGTGTGGTGGGTGGGGGTAGGTAATGGAAGATAATATGAATATAGAAGAAGACATAGAGAATTCCTAAGATGGGGCGGGCGTGGCGGCCCACGCCTGTAATCCCAGCAATTTGGGAGGCTGAGGCAGGCAGATCACATGAGGCTAGGAATTCAAGACTAGCCTGGCCAACATGGCGGAAACCTGTCTTGACTAAAAATACAAAAATTAGCTGGGCATGGTGGCACACACCTGTAATCCCAGTTACCTGGGAGGCTGAGGCACAAGGATCACCTGAGCTGGGGAAGCAGAAGTTGCAGTGAGCTGAGACCACACCACTGCACTCCAGCCTGGGTGACAGAGTGAGACTCTTTAAAAGAGAGAGAGAGAGAGAGAGAGAGAGAGAGAGAATTCCCAAGAGTGAATTTCCAGCTCCAAGAGCTTTAAAGTGTCATGTGAAGTCACTGAAGGAAGAAGACTTTGGAGAGTGGTGTTCCAGTAATAATATCCGGCCGTTAGAATAGTCTCCTAAACCACAGAAAAATATATACCAGAAGAGTATCTAATTCAAGAAAGAGGAAGATATGTAACCCAGAAAATGCAATCAGGTCTGCCATACGGAAGCAAATAGATGGCATCTGTATGGCAGACCTGGAGAGGACAGAGGGGCTCGGGGGGAAGATGTACTAGTCATTTACCTATGGGTCCTTGGCTCCAGATCCATATTCCTGTACTCAACTTTGTGATGCTTAGGTTAGGACTGTACAAATTGTATTTCAGAGACCTATTTTTCAGCACTAGAGAAATATTAGGAGGTAAAAGAAGAGGAGCTGGGTCTTCCTATTTATTGCTATTTCTGTCAATATCAATCTACAGTGGTAATTCATTTCCACATTTGGCAGCTGAATAAACACTATTGGGAAAAAATATACACCTGCTTTTTAAAAGTCATTATTATTTAAGTTCTCCCTATCCACCTGAATAGCACACTGTTCAAAGCTCATATGCCATTGCAAAAATAATTCTAAAATTTGTTTGGAACCACAAAAGCACCTGAATAGCCAAAGCAATTTTGACGAAGAAGAAAAAACATGAAATCACACTTCTTGATTTAGAATTATACTACAAAGCTATAGTGATCAAAACAGTATGGTATGGGCATAAAAACAGACACATAGACCAATGAAACATACTAGAAAGCCTGAATATAAACCCAAGCACAAACAGTTAACTAATTTTTCCCAAAGTCACAAGAAAAACAAAATGAGACAAGGATAGTCACTTCAATAAATGGTGTTAGGAAAATTAGATATCCACTCGTAAAAGGATAAAATTGAATCCTTATCTAACACTAAACATAAAAACTACTCAAAGTTGATTAAAGGCTTAAACATAAGACCTGAAACTATAAAATTCCTAGAAGAAAATATAGGAAAAAATACTCCGTGACATTGGCCTTGCCAGTGATTTATTTGATATGGCACCAAGATCCCAGGCAATAAAAGCAAAAATAAGCAAGAGGGACATCAAACTAAAAAGTTTCTGTATAGTAAAGGAAACAGTCAACAAAAAAAGACAACCTATTGACTAGGAAAAAACATTTGCAAACTATGTATTTTACAATGGATTAATATCAGAAAATATAAGAAACTCATACAATGGCAAAAAACAAACATGCAAACAAACAAAACCAAACAAAAAAACACACCTGATTTAAAAGTGGGCAAATGACCTGAAGACATTTTCCAAAAAAGGCATATAAATAACAGGTATATGAAAAAGCACTCAACATCACAAATCATCAGGGAAGTGCAAATCAAAACACAACGAGGTCACCTTACAGTTGTTAAGATAGTTATTATCAAAAAGATTAGTATTGGCAAGGATGTGGAGAAAAGGCAACCCTTGTATACTGCTGGTGGGAATGTAAATTGGTATAGTCACCATGAACAACAGTATGTATGTTCCTTAAAACATTGTAAGTAGACCTACCATAGGATCCATCTGGGCATATGACCAAACCTTATGAACTCAGTATGTCAAAGAAATATCTGCACTCCCACATTCATTCCAGTATTATTCACAATAGCCAAGATATGGAAGCAACTAAAGTGTCCACTGACGATTAATGGACAAAGAAATTGTGGTATATATACATATAAATACACGCATACACACAAATGTTATTCAGCTTCAAAGAAGGGTGATCTTGTTATTTATGACAACATGGATAAACCTGGAGGACATTATGCCAATTGAAATAAGCCAGACACAGAAAGAAAAATACTGCACCATCTCATGTACCTGTGGAATCTAAAAAATGGGTAAATAGAAGCAGGGTAAAGTGGTTACACCAGGGCCGAGGAGGTGGGAGAAATGGGAATATTCTGGTCAAAGACTGAATAAGTCTAGAAATCTAATGTACAGCATGATGGCTGAAGTTAATAATACTGTATTGTGTACTGGAAATTTGCTGAGAGTAGATTTCAGGTGCCCTAACAACACAACACATAAAAAGGAAACTATGTGAAGACATTAATATGTACATTACTTGACTGTAAAAGTCATATATATATATATATATATATACACACACACACACATATACATATATATATACACATATATATATACACACACACCATGACTGTATACAATTTTTATTTAAAAATAAAGTAGCAATATGTGAGGGAGAAAGGCTCATATGCTATTAGACAAGCCTTCCTTACAAGCATATAGGAAAATAAAACAAGAGTTTAGCATATCTAGAAACTTTGTTATGCATGCATGTAAGTATATATGTATTTATTTGTTTCCTTGTATTTTGATTCTAAATAATCTGAGTTGGCACAAAATTTGAGAGTTTAACTTCATAAAACATTTTATTTAAAAAACAGAGTCCATATTGACACATATTATTTAAAAAACAAATTAATGATGGAGAGTAGACAACTCTCCCCTGCAGAAGAATTCTAAATAATTTATGTAGGTATTCCACCCTTAAAAAGGTACAGAATAACTGTTATCTTAAGTGTGGACTGTTCATAGTGACATTTTCTCAGGGAGCACAGTATGGAAAGAGGTGGAAAAGATTAACTTTATAATGGAGAGTATGACAAACAGTATTTCAGTGAAGAGATTAAAGTAAATATAAATGGTTATTAGTCATCTTGATCATGTGTATCCTTGATATACTGTGATGAAAATGGCACTTCATGCCTTTGGTCATTCTTCCAAAATACCATAATTTTATTCTAATTATGATTTTTTTAAAAATCTGTAAAACCTCAGTTGAGGGACATTATACAAATACCTGACCAGTATACCTCCAAACAGTCAAGGTTATCAAAAATAATAAAAAAAAACAAGAAAAAAAGTTTTATTTATTTATTTTAACTTTTATTTTTAAGTTCAGGGGTACAAGTGCAGCTTTGTTACACAAGAAAAATAACTTAAAAAACAAGGTCATCAAAAATAAGAAAAATCTGAAAAAATTTTCATAACCTAAAGGAGCCTAAGAAGACATAATGACTAAATATATGATATCCTAGATAAGATCCTGGTCATGGGGAACAGACAATGGGTAAAATCTAAGGATATCTCAATAAACTATGGAATAGAAAGTTTAATCAAAAATAAGCTGAAGTCCCCAAAAATGTTTTTAACAAGAATATTCTTACATTTGTATTTTTGTCCTTGTTACTGTTTACAATTCCCCTTTCCATGATCTTTTGTTAATTGATACATAATAATTGTACATGTTTATAGGGTGCATGTGCTATTTTGATACATACATAGCATGTGTAATGCTCAAATCAGGGTAATTAGAATATTCATACCTCAAACATTGATTACTTCTTAGTGTTGGGAACATTTAAAATCTTCTTTTCTAGCTATTTTTCAATATACAATAAATGATTGTTAACTGTAGTTATTTACCCTAGTGTGCTATCGAACACTAGAACTCATTTCTTCTGTTTTGTTTAAACAACCTCTCTTCTTTTCCCTTCTCTCTCTCTCTCTCTGTCTCTCTCTCTCTATATATATATATGTGTGTGTGTATGTATATATATGTATATATGTATATATATGTATATATGTATATATATGTATATATGTATATATATGTATATATGTATATATGTGTATATATATGTATATATGTATATATATATGTGTATATATGTGTGTATATATGTATGTATATATGTATATATGTATATATGTATATATGTATATATATATAACTCACATTTAAAGATAATTTGTTTATGCATTGGTAGACACTTAGGCTGATTCCACATCTTTGCTATTATGAATAGTGCTCGATCAACATCGGCATGCAGATTTCTCCTCGATATACTAATTTCCTTTTATTTGTATATATATACCCAGCAGTGAGATTACTGGATCACATGGTAGATTTATTTTAGTTTTCTGAGGAAACTCCATACCATTTTCCATAGTGACTGTACTAATTTACATTTCCACTGGTAGTATACTAGAGTTCCCCTTTCTCCACATCCTCATCAGCATTTGTTATTTTTTTCTCTTTTTGGGAATAGCCATTTTAACTGGGGTAAATGATATCTTATTGTGTGTTTCATTTGCATTTTCCTAATGATTAGTGAGGTTGAGTATTTTTTCATATGCCAGTTGGCTATATGTGTGTCTTCTTTTGAGAAATGTCTACTCAGATTATTTACTAATTTTGTAATTGGATTTTTTTTTGCATTTGAATGTTAGAGTTCCTTATATATTTTTGTTATTAATCCCTTGTTGGATGGATCATTTGCAAGTATTTTCTTCCATTCTATAGGTTGTTTCTTCACTCTGTTGATTGTTTTTTTTTCTTGCACAGAAGCTTTTTAGCTTAATGTAATAGCATTTGTCTATTTGTCTATTTTTGTTTTTGTTGCCTGTGCTTTTGAAGTCTTTTCTAAAAAACTTTTGCCCAGATCAATGATATGAAGTGTTTCCCCAATATTTCCTTCTAGTAGTTTCAGAGTATCAGGTCTTCATTGAAGTCAAGTCTGTAATTCATCTTGATTTTATTTTTATATACAGTGAGACATAAGAGGTCTAGCTGATCATCTCAATAGATGCAAAAAAGCATTTGAAAAAATTCAACATCACTTCATGATAAAAACCCTCAACAAACTAGGTATAGAAGGAGCGTGCCTCAATACAGTAAAATCCACATATAGCAAACCAGTGGCTAGTATTATACCAAATGGGGAAAAGCTGAAAGATTTTTACCGAACAACTGGAACAAGACAAGAATGCCTGCTCTAACCACTCTTATTCAACATACTACTGGAAGTCCTCGCCAGAACAATTAATCAAGAGAAATAAATAATGGGCATCCAAATTGGAAAGGAGGAAGTCAGATTATCACTTTTTGCAGATGACACAATACTTTTATATAGAAAATCCTAAAAGCCCCACCAAAAAAACTTTTAGAACTAATAAACAAATTCAGTAAAGTTGCAGGATACAAAATTAACATACAAAATTGGTAATATACTAACCACAAAGAAGCAGAAAAAGAAATTAAGGAATTCTATTTATAGAATCTACAAAATAATAGCTTCTATTTATTTATTATTCTAGGTATAAATATTTCTAGGTATATACCTAGAAATAAATTTAACTAAGGCGGTGAAAGACCTTTACATGAAAAACCATAAAATGCTGATGAAAGAAATTGAAGAGATCACAAAAAATGGAAGATATGTTGTGGATTGAAAGAAATAATATTGTGAAAATGACCATACTACCAAAATCGATCTGCAGATTAAATGCAATTCCTATACAAATACCAATGATATTCTTCAAAGAAACGGGAAAAAAAATCATAAAATGTAAATGGAACTAAGAAAGACACCAAATAACCAAAACAATTTTGAGGGGAAAAAAAAAGAAGTTCATGAATGCCTTTTGTATGATAGATGAGTATGTTTTCTTTCGTATTGACTTGCCACATGACTTGTCTTGACTAATGGAATTGAGAAGAGTTTGTGTGCATAATGTAGCTTAGCCCCACTAGAATCACCATTAAAACAGAGAATATATTTTAGGTCTCTGTGCCTCTATGTCTCTAGCCTTTCCTCCCTTATGGGGAGAAAACTAATCTAAAATGAAAGAACAGATACAAGGGACCAAAGTAATCCTGGCAGTATTTGAATCCCTAAGGCCAGGTCTTTCTAAAGACAGCTACATTCCTATCCACAAATCAATCAATCAGTAAGAAATAAGTAAATAAATAGCAAAAAACAACAAAAAGGTATCTATGGAGTGTGATGGATATGTCAATTTGCTTGACTGTAATAACAATTTCACTTTGTCTGTATGTATCCCAGATATTGGTTATTCCTCTTGCCGCATTCCAGAATGAGAAAACAAGTGGAGCTGAACTGAGCCAAGTCTAGCCAAGCAGCATTGAACTCATTGGAGCTACAGCCATATCGTAGCCTTCATGTAATATAAGTAAGAAATAAATGTTTGCTCTTATAAAACACTGAGATAATAGGAACATTTATTATTGCAACAAAAGAAGATTAACACACTTGATGATACCTTTTCAAAAACATTTAGTTCTTGTACTGTCTCCTTCATAAAACTTCCTCTAAGTGTTTCTGTGACTCATCTATAGTTTCCAGATTTAGCAAATAAAAATAGAGGACTCAAAGCTGGCATTTAAAAATATGTATAGCTCAAGTTCCTAACTTGATTATAAGCTCTTTAAAGTAGGACCCAATCTTATTCATAACATCCAGCAATATATATTGGACTTCTACTGTTCCAAGCATTTTTATTAGGCATTGGAGATGTAATGACGTGTGAAAATAAACAGAAGCTTTATACTCTTTAAGTTTTTAAACTACTGGAGGAAACAGAAATTAAGCAAATAATCAACACAATAAATATCAAAGTGTAGTTCTAACCAATGTTATTTAAAGATACCAGGTGCATGGTCCTCTGAGAAACTGTATGGGAGACCTGATCAAGTCAGGAAGGTAAGGAAAGGCTTCCCTGAAGGAGTGAGGTGATTTCTCAAGTTAAGAGGCAGAAAGGTCAGAAAGAATAGTCCAGCCTCTGCAAATTCCAAAGATGGAAGTTAGCAATGTGTCTGAAGAAGAAAGACTAAAGTTGCTATGAGATGAGATTGAAGAAGTAAATAAGGACAGCCATGGTATCTCCCTAACGATAAACGCAGTCCCACATGCTTAGTATGTGTCCAACAAATAATCGTGACCATATATGGCTTGACTTAGATATATTGAATGCCTGTGGCTAATTGATAGGATTACAGACAGAAAAAACACATAGTCCTTATCTTCAAGGACTCTCTCTCTCTCATACTCTATCTGCTAGAAGCTATAATAGTTCAGCAACCATCAGTCATAGTTGAGTTCTAAGTGACAAAAAGCCAGCTCTCACTGATTTATTCAAAAGAAGAAAATCACTTTATTGACTAATGGAATACAAATAAATATTAAACAACCAAGCTACAGGAAGAATAGGAGTGTGGCTGTCTTTAAAAAGACCTGGCCTTAGGGATTCAAATACTGCCAGGATTATTTTGATCCCTTGTATCTATACTTTCATTTTAGATTAGTTTTCTCCCCATAAGGGAGGAAAGGTATAGAGACATAAAAGTTAAAATTGAGAGATAAGCATGAACACTCCAGTGGAAAAGAGGTAGAAAATCTGAAGACGAGTGAAATTATGGGGTCTGAAAAGCCAAAATACATTTATTGTTTGAGGAGTGTATTTAAGAGAGTATAGTAGGTGAACTTAGAGATAATCTAGAGTTACATCATGATAAACATTATTACCTGACTAAAGGAAGTTAAACTTGATGCCAAAGGTATCTAGTCTTCATCATTAGTTTTCTTAATTTTTCTGGGCTAAAGTATTCTCATTTGCACAATGAAAGATGTATTGGACATACTTTGCTCAGTATTGCTTTACTTGAAGAATTAATCTTTCCCTACATCATGTGGTGACGGTGCAACTGTGAAATATCACCACTCCATCCCCCAACTACAGGTATGACCACATGGCTCAGGGGGGACAATCAAAGTGCTTCATCCCTTTAGCCATAGAGACTTTTCAGAGATAAGAAACTAATCTGAGCAAGGCCATTCAGAGACTTACTATGAGATTTGATATAAGCATGTCAGAGAAAAGGGATTTTCTAACTTTTTGAGGGAAGATAAGATAGGCTGCAAGATAGGCTAATGGCTGCTTCAGTGGCCAGGGAAGAATGAACATAAAGCCAAAACACAAAAGAAAGCACTGTAAAGGGAAGGAAAGAGAGTTATATCTAAGTCCCTGGATCTGTCCATGCCTGAAGCAACAGCCACTGGTGGACTTCCTAGTTATATGAGCTAATTATTTTCCCTTTTTTCTTAAATAGTATGAGTTAAGTTTCTTGAAATAAAAATATTTTTGATGAAAATGGAGGTAATTCTTTCTGCTTACAGGGTTATTGTATAGATCAGATTTATAAGAATCTGGCAAGGCTGGTGGCCCATACCTGTAGTCCCAGCTACTCTGGAGGCTGAGGCAAGAGTATCGTTTGAGCCCAGGAGTTTGAGGCTGCAGTGAGCTATGATCATCCCACTGTACTTCAGCCTGGGTGACACAGTGAGATCCTGTCTCAAAAAAAAAAAAAAAGAAAAGAAAAGAAAAGAAAAAGAAGAATAAATATATAATTCATTGTAGGCTCTAAAGAGCACCTGAGTCATTTGACGTTTATCAAATTCCTTTGGCCACAGAGAAAATAATAAAAACAATTATTCTCATGAAATAGTGGTAAGTTATACTTTTCATGAAATAAACTACAGTAATAGATTTTTGCATATGCTGTGATTTGGAATCATAAATGATCCTAATTGCCTCTGTGTTGGGCTTTGTCTAAATACTTGCTATACTTTGTTTTTACTGGTATTTGAAGCCAGCAAGTAATCTGTTTATTCAAATACTTATGGCCAAATATCCTTAATTACTTTCTGAAACAATAGTTTCTGAATAGGGAGACTGGTCAATTATTTTTCTTTAATATGATTATTATAATAAAGCTATGGACATGTTTTTGCAGTCAAGCTTCCTCAGAGATGTTTATAATGATTCAATCACAAACTAAATCTCTGTGTTTCCTGCTTTGTTGTTGTTGTTGTTGTTGTTGTTAGGGAATTAGGGGATTCCCTGGTATAGCAGTGTCTTTGTTATATCCACTTCCTATCTTACCTCTTTTCTGAAATATTTCAAGTTCTCCCTGCCAGTGCACCAGGAGTAAAAAGTCCTATTTATATTGTTCCTCACTGTGTATGTCATTGCTTCTATCATATTCTGGAATGCTTACGGTACCGTACTTAGATTCAGGATGGCCAGCATTTCCAGCCATTGATGACATTATTAAGAAACAGAATGATAAACTATGGCTGAATCATTTAAAATGCCAGGTGTTCCTGGAAATAAATCTCTTATGACAATGTATCTGAGGCTGGGCAACGTGTCTCACACCTGTAATCCCAGCATTTTGGGAGGCCCAGGCAGGTGGATCACTTGAGGTCAGGAGTTCGAGACCAGCCAGACCAACATGGTGAAACCTCATCTCTACTAAAAATACAAATTAGCTGGGTGTGGTGGCACATGCCTGTAATCCCGGTTACTTGGGAGGCTACCTCAGGAGAATCACTTGAACCCGGGAGGTGGAGGTTGCAGTTAGCCGAGATCACACCATTGCACTCCAGCCTGGGCAACAAGAGTGAAACTCTGTCTCAAAAAAAAGAAAAAAAAGAAAATACATCTGATATATTCCAGAAATGAAAACTACCCTCAATCTGTCTGTATCCGATGTGTTTTTCCCTGGTATTTCCTTAGTAAGCTGCCTGGATAGAATGCGTAAGACAATAACAGCATTGCTTTTTCACATAAAAGTTTGAAATTTTCCCTTCAAATACAAAAATATTTTTCTCAGTCTCTTTTTTTAGAAAGTCACCACTGCAGTGAGGCAAAAACATACATTCTGAGAAGTTAAAGTAGAAATGACAATTTACAAAACAAACTGTGCTCTGATTTGCATAATGTGTAAACTGAACTAAATCATGGCATGCAACACAAACTATTTAAGACCAAAATGTTTTAATGTCATCTTATTCAGACCCACACGTTCAAAGATAAAACCATAGATAAGTGGCTATACCCTCAGTCTGAACTCATGTATTTCAGAGAAAAGACTATTACCTGTTCTACTAATTTTCCTGTTTATCAATTCTGAACAACACCTGCCCAGACCATGCTTACTAACTTTACTCTAAAACCACTTTGTCTGCCTTCTCCCAACCAAAAAACCTAGCAGTACCTTTCCCTAAATTTTCCCCATGAGAACTAAGGGTACTCTGGTAAACGTTCTGTTTTCCCTTGTTCAGTCAACTTAATAAACTAAGTTTTGTGTGGTTAGCAGATCCCTGATGATCTTTTCATGGAAACTTGTGTCATTCAGACATGATGACATTGCTTTCTTCACCATCCATCATGGTACCCACACTGTGTTCTGTGCTCCTAAAACTTAAATACTTGGCCCTAGGGATATATTTGTCCCCTGTTAGATGTTGAACAGGTATCTGAGAAGAGATAAAGACTAGGGACTTATTCTTGTTCAAACTCAGTATTTATTGGCTGACCTTATGTCTATCCAAGGACAGTCAAAACCGGGTGGTAGCCAACCACTTTACTTTTGAGTGATGGCTCTTGTTCTGCAGAATCTATGAATTTGAGTCATAAAAGAAAATGATGTGCTTATATTCTCAATCACTAGACTCTGGTTTTTCTTTTTCTTACATCATGCTACCAATGCCAGAGGCTGAAACAAGGACAAATGTGCAGAGGCTACATATCGCCACACAGCTGGAAAATGGCTTTGACAAGCACACAAAGTATTCTTGCTGTGGATAATTTCCTTTCAACATAAGTAATATGTGTCCTCCCTCATGACCTGTGTGAGGTTGGACTACATGATTGTTAGGTCTCTTCAAACCCAAGACTACTTTAGGTTATAAAAATTTCAAAGTAGGTAAACTTTGGCCTTAATCTTATTCAGCCCATCTTTTTTCCCTGCTCTTCTGACATTGCTTCTGTTTGCTACCTTTCACTAGTGTTCATTGATGGATTTAGTGTATTCATGTTGTCCTCATTTACCCAAGATCTTTATTTTAGGCCTAGTGCCAAGAGCCAAACTTCATTCTCACACATGTGATTTTATTTCCTGTGTTAGAACCAAAACAATCAGAATTCAGTTTTTAATAGCTAAAAGTTACAATTCCAAAAGAAATTTGACGTCATCAGGTCCTTCCTGAAAGAAATAATCACTGAACCAAAAAATGGATGTCCATGTATCATTTATATAGCAGTTGCCTACCTTTCATATACAGTATATCAGGTTAGAGCTGTGCAATAGTATTTTATAATTTACATTATGAGCACGGATCAATGGTATAGTCAAAAATCCTACCTTTCAATCTGTTGCCTAACAGGCATTTGTTGGACACATTTAAAAACCAGCTGACTTATATTAAACATAATTGTGTGCTAAACTATATATTTGGCCTTCAACCTAGAAAGAATGATTTTATAACTTCCATTTTGTAGGTTTTAAGAAGTTAAGTAACTTACCCTATATGACATATTTGGTAAATGTTAGACTTTGCTCTCAAGCTTTCAATTTGGCTGAGTAAATAACAATATTCATGGAACAGTTATAAAATAACATGAAAACACAAAGCAAGTCACAAGGCACTACTTTATTAATTGAACCCATGTAATTTGGGAAATCTATTATCAATTTTCTGAATTAAAATAAAGGAGGTATTATTGTGAGATGGACTGTATTTAGAAAGCTCCCTAAAAGAGATGGATAATTACACTGGGTTGTGAAATATGTACAATGGCAGAATGTTTGTCGAAGGGAAGAATTTCAGAGAACGCAGGAACAATACATTATTGGAAGGAGAAACTAGTAGGAGCACTGACAGATTATCAAATTACCAAGAAAATTTTCAATGGCTAGTGAGGCCTTGAATGAGGGATAGGGCAGGAGGAGGGATAATAAATAAAAACTAAATAGCTATTAGTGTTGAGGGAGATGTGAAGTGGAATTTGTGGCCACACTCCCCTTTCCCTCCATGAGCCACTTGGTCTATAAAAAGACTGGCAACTAAGGTTTATTCAAGCGGAATTCATTGGTATCTACACTAAGAGTTTTAAAAGCCACATTGTGACATACAGAGAATTTGGATGGATGGCCTGACAACAGGCAAACATCAAGGAAATTTATTTGTTTATTAGTTGGTCAGTTAGTTTGTTTGTTTGAAAGTTGCATTTCTCTGTCTTTTGACAGATAAAAAGATGGGAACATATATAACTGAGAGTAAGAGAAAGAAAAAATTAAAATTCACCTACAATGTGGATGTGGTAAATGAGAAGGAAATTGATATGTTTAAGTACCTAATGTCAGCCAGAAACTGTACTAATTTTTTTTTTTACACATTGCTTCACTTAATCCCCATAACAACTATAAGAAGTAGATGTTACTTAAAGAGGGGGAGCTAAAATTTAAGGGATTTTTTTTTTTTTTTAGTTATACTTCAAATTGAAGAAATAATTTAGAGAAGTTTAATACCTGGCCTAAAGTCATATAGTTAATAAAAAATAAAGTATTTAAACCAGCTCTCACTGATATCAAAGTCCATTGTCTCATTAAATGAATCTCATATTTAAAAAAGAAAAAAACCTTAATAATTTACTGAGATGAAGCATTCTTAGGAAATTTAATAAGCAAAATATTCAGATAAAAATTAGTATTTTAGTCAAGCATTTCTGTGCAACACATCAACCCAATAAAGTGGTTTAAAACAACAACTTTTTCTTTTTTTTTCCTTTTTTTCTTGAAATGAGGTCTTATTTTGTCTCCCAGGCTGGAGTGCAGTGGCACTATTACCAGAAAGTGGTCCTGATCCAGACCCCAAGAGAGGGTTCTTGGATCTCACACACTCTATGACTCCATAGAGTAAAGTGAAAGCAAGTTTATTAGGAAAGTAAAGGAAGAGAGAGGGGCTACTCCATAGGCTAGGCAGCAGCATAGGCTGCTCAGCTGCTTATACTTACTGTTACTTTTTGACATATGCTAAACTAGCAGTGGATTATTTATGAGTTTTCCAGGAAAGGGGTGGGCAATTCCCAGAACTGAGGGTTCCACACCTTTTTAGACCATATAGGGTGACTTCCTCATGTTGCCATGGCATTTGAAAACTGTTATGGTGCTAGTGGGAGTGACTTTTAGCATGCTAACGCATTATAATTAGCATATAATGAGGAGTGAGGACAACCAGAGGTCACATTTGTTGCCCTCAGTGATTTTGGCTGGCTTGGGCTGGCTTCTTTACAATATGCTGTTTCATCAGCAAGGTCTTTGTGCTCTGTACCTTGTGCGGACCTCCTAACTCATCCGCAACTAAGAATGCCTTAACCTCCTGGGAATGCAGCTGGCTTCAGCCCTATTTTACCCATCCCCTATTCAAGATAGAGTAGCTTTGGTTTGATCGCCTCTGACAGCATGATTTTGGCTCATTGCAGCTTTGACTTCTCCCCGGCTCAAGTGATCCTCCTGCTCAGCCCCCCAAGCAGTTGGGACTATAGGCACATGCCACCACACCCAGCTAATTTTTGTATTCTTCTTGTGTGTAGAGATGGGGTTTTGCCACGTTGCCCAGGCTGGTCTTGAACTCCTGGGCACAAGCTATCTGCCTGCCTCGGCCTCCCAAAGTGCTGGATTACTCGTGTCAGTCACAGTGCCCTGCCCAACAACTTTTAATTATCTCTCATGCTTCTCTATCAATTAGGACCTCAGCTGAGTCGTTCTGCTATATTGCATCAGATGTCAGCTGGTTCTGCAGTCATCTGGAGGCTCTGCTGGTAGAACACCCAGCACACTTCACTCAAATGGCTGGCTGCAGCTGGTGCTAGTTATGGTCTGGGATCTCAGATGAGGCTGCTAAGCTGAATGTGTTGTTACTCCTTTACATCGTCTCTCCACATGGCTTGAACTTCTCACAGCATGCCTGCTGGATTCGAAGAGATGGCATTCAAGTGCTTAAAAATGTAAGCAAATCTCTTAATATTCAGCCTGAGTATTACATAGGGCTTCTACTGCCATATTCTCTGGTTGAAAACAATCCTTGGATCAGCCCAAACTAAAAGGGTAGAGAAAGAAATTCCACTTCTCAAGGAAGGAATGACAAGTTTTGGGCCCTTTTTAATCAACATCCAAGTAAGCTGCTTGTGATGAAAGTGAAGGTGGGGAACGGAAAAAGTGGGAAGGTAAAGATCAAAAGCAAAATGCTCCCGAGAGTCCTTAAAAAGCTAACCGTGTATGCTTGGATTCCAAGAGAGAGACTCCAGATAGAGCTAGGAATAGAAAGATTTCCTAGCATTAGGGATTTCCTAGTAATTGGGAGCAAGGTAGATGAACATTTACCGTTTCTCATAATTTCTGTAGTCAGGCTTCAGGTACAAAATTAGGCTAATATATTGTCTGTTAATTATATGTATTTCTTAATCATATATTCATTGAGGAGATACCTTGGGAGGGTTGAGAGGGAAGATAACTGAGAGATGGTGATATTGCTAATACTACCGATATACGGGACCCCTCTGCAATTACATGTCTTTTAGTTAATTTCATGTGTATATATTCAGCCATTGACAGTATACTCTGTATCTTCTGTGGGTAGGAGCCACAGCACTGTATTCATTTCGCATGCTTAATCACGCCTACAGATTCAATTCATTCAGACTGTTGTAAAAATAAATGCTGCTCAAAAATGCAGCTCCCCCATGTAACCTCCTAGGCAAAAGGAGACAGAATAAAATCAGCCAACCATTTTTTCTGCCTAGTAATTTCAGGGAATAACCTTTTAGTTAATACCCTAAGTGCAGAGGCCTGCAGCATACACCCAGGTGAAAAGTTTCACCCCACATTGACCTGTCTTAGGGAGAGGCAAGCACTTGCTGAAGAAGCAAGTTCTCATTACTAATTAGTAATTCATTATTGCACGGTTTCAAGGGAAACTTATGACCTGTTAAGACTAAAAATGAACACAATCATTAATATTTCCATCACTTTGGAATAGGAAACAATTTCAGTCTAAAGTGCATGATTTCTGGAATTTATTTCTCGATGCTTCTGTTATAATATTTCTTGAAAGCCTGGTTAAACAAATAAAAATAGCTATGTTTAGCCTAAAATGATTACTTTTCTCTGCCATTGACAATGAGTTAGCATTTACTACAAAATTGGCATTACATGTTCTTTGCTATGAACATAACTTTATTTGAATCAAAAAAGTCAAGCAACAAAAGTTTAAACTAATTTCTTTGAATTTTGACAAGAGTGTAAAATTGGGATAATTTTCATTAAATGTGTTATACATTTAGCAGAGTAAAAGCAAATAAGTATTTAATCACTACTGAGAAAATTACAAATTATAATCATGTGGGATCCTCACACCAGAATAGAAAACATGAGAATAGATTATAAGAAATAATAAGAAAAACAATTGGGATTTTTCCCCCAGAAATCTGGGGGCAAGTGTTGCAATGAGAAAACATAAAGTTACTGATTATTGTATTTTATTATCAAATATCATCTTAAGTCATATTGAAAATGTGGCCATCTGTTCTCCAGTGTCTTCAAAATCTAATAGCCCAATCCCAATCCTTTCAAAAACATTCTAAAAACAAAGGATGAAAATTATTTATATTGGTAGAGATAGATACTTTAATTGAAATCAGTTTATAAATATGTAACATTTGATAAACAAATCTGAACACATAAACCATTTTTAACTATTATAAAATTATTGATTTCTGCCTCCAAAATTCCAGCGAAATTGTCCCTAAGCCACTAATCCCATGGTTCTATTGGTTTATGGCCTGTTTGAGACATTTTTCTTCTCTTTTCCACTCCCTCTTACAATTTTTTCTTCCCTTGGCTTTGTGGGCACCTCTATGCCCTGGTAGTTTTCCTCCCCTCTGATTGTGTTCATCTGGATCATTTCCCTCTCCCGCCTTTGTTCCACATGTCTGTTTCAAATCACCCATTCCTATTAATAAACTCATTATAACTTTTGAATCTCAGAATCTCCATCCCTGGACTATCTGAAACTCGCCATTTTAAAATTTAGTACATTATCTTCTTACAAAAAATGTTTTCCATCTCCTTATTTAATGTACCTATATAGTGGCATCACCATTTTAATAGTCTCCTTGGAAAGAAATCTAAGCCATCGAGGTGCCTCTATCCTCTCCCTTCTATGTTACTGCATCCAATATATTAAACTCTCACAATTCAGTTTCTGGCATTTGTCTTGAATTCATTCTTTCTTCTCTGACCCCATAGGGTGCCAGCCCTCCATTCAGTCTTTTTCCTCAACAATTCTGATTATTTTTTCTGTGTCTTTGCTCCCAAAAGTTGCCTTTTTTATTATCATGGGAGCTTCCTCTTTCTAATATGTACACTAGGACATAAAACTAAATAAAATCTCTCCATTTTCTAAGAAAAAACATACAAATTCCATAGAATCCGTGCAATAGCTGTCAGTCACCTAATTGCTAGTTTCCTCTCCGAACACTTCCAGTCCTTTCACCTTTGTTATCTAACATTAGAGGACCATGCCTGCTGAAGCCTATCTCCATGTCAATGTACATGATTTTTCTTCCTCCTGAAATATTCTAAAATTTTCCCACCTGGTAAATTTCAGATTACTCTTTAAGACCCAGGTGAAGTGTTGTTTTATCTGCAAAGAGTCTCTTAAGGAAGTTCATTCTCTCCCATTTGCTATAATATTAATTTGAACATTTCTTTATTATTACATGATGTTGCATTGTATTTATGAAGGATGACTGTATGCATGAAGGATTCTACCACTAAACTTCAGCTTCTTGAAGAAGTAGTCCATTTCTTCTTGATCTTTATATTACCAGTGCCACAAATAAGCGCTAAGAATACTTAAATGAGTTACTTGCATTATTTTGCATAATGCACTTTAGTGTTTGGCAGGCCTATACTCAAAGCTCACTCTGAAACTTAATTGGGTGATTCAATTACCTAATTTCTCAAAATCACATTTGCCTCATCTGAAGACATTGGTACCTACCTCACAGGGTTGTTGTGAGAACTAACATTATATAATGCATGTGAAATACTTAGCATAGTGTCTGACACTTAATAAGTACTCAATAAATTCTGACTGCTACTATTATAGGGCTTCAGTTGAATAGAAAAGGAAGTAGAGACAGATGAAATAGAATGGTTTGGGATAAAATTGAGAAGTCAAAGGAATGAAAGCTTAATTAATTTGAGTGATCATTTTGGTAGAGATAAAGGAATGAGAATAACTGGAATAAAAGGAGGTTGTAGTGAGAGAGTGTTATAAATTATTATATTCTGTCAGCAGTTTAATGTTCTGCTCTAGAGCACTGCATTTTGATGACATGATCCAAAATACTGTCATAAGTAAGGGTAGACAAGATGGATTGTAAGATAATCAGAGTTGAGGTGAACAAGAAATTAAATGTTGTGAAATATTATTGTTCAATTTGGAAATGTTTATATTTGGTGATTGCCATAGAAATTTCAGATAGTAGATAGGCCTTGAGTTAAGAGGAATAGTGTGAATCAGTCACCAGATTCTTTAAAATATGTTCAGGAGTGACCAAGAAATTGGTAAAGAACAGTGACGTGAATGGGATAAAGGATGACTTATACAAGGATGGGAGTACAATGAACTGGAAAGTTAGATTTGTGACTCAATCGTTTGCTTTTGTGAAACAAGATATATGGGAGGGTGGACACTCTCTACTGTAAAGCAGGAGCTGATCACCAAGGCCCTTAAATCTGGCCTGCTGCTTGTTTTGTAAATGAACTTTCATTGAAACACAGCAACACTCATTAATTTATACATTGTCTGTGACTGTTTTTGTACTGCAGTGGCAGAGTTGATTAATTGCAGCAAAAACCATATGGCCCACAAAGCCTAAAATATTTACTATGTGGCCTTTTATAGGGAAAGCTTGCTTAACCATGCTCTAGCAGTCTGCAGCCAAATCAGTGTCTTCTAATATATGCTAGGGTATAATTAATGCAAGGAATTAGAAAAGAATTTTGTGTCTAGTTGAGAATATGAAGAGGAGTTTACCACAAACAGTGGATTTCAGAAGGTCTGGTGAATTTTAAGAGAGATAAGAAAGGAAGCAGGAGAAATTGAATGTGTCCAGGAGGAGCAGCATTGAGCAATATGAGAGTGGCTACCAGAAGGTGGTCAAACTGAAAAGCTTATCTTTGGGGCAGTGACTAAGAATTTCTAAGCATAATTAAAGAGGCCTAATGACACCTAAAGAATCATGGTGTCAGGTACTATAAGAGCCGGTGTAAGCTAATGCCTCAGGTGATGCCAGATACCTGACAATACAAAATTTGCCCACCCAATAATGGTGAGGCCCTGGTTGGGATCCTAAGCCTGGGGACATTACTGTGTAAATAGAAGTAATTATACCAAAAAGAACTTAACACCCCTAGGCTACAAGTCCTTGTATATCCCAAGGATTACTAGACCACAAACCAAAAATGAAGACAATCATTGTATATGAGCAATCTATCATTTCATTTCACAGTATAGCATCTAGATAGATAAATGAGTGATAGAATGATCTCTCTCTACATGCAGAAATATATATCAATATATGTATATACATTATCTTATCTATCTTTAGTCATTCTTTTTCAGGTAGAGAATTCTATATGGGGGAATTTCAATGCTCAATTCTTGAACTACACATTTTTACTTAGGACAAAGGAAAATAGGCTGTACTTTTTAGAATATAAAATATTCATCGTTTCCCAATAAGCATTATAGTTACCACAGCCTGCTTAAAGTTGTTCATTGTTAACTGACATTCAAACTGTTTGGATTTCATGTGAATTAAACTGTCGAAGCTCAGTAGTATATTTATTATCTGTGCTACACACACAAATTTATTTACCACACACTTCAAACATCTGTTACTACATTTTAATAGTAGTTGTTGACATGACATAGTAAAAAAGTAAAATGAGTCCATTTAAAAGGTTGATTATGGTGCAAAACTGGTAAAAATGTCATGCATGTGTATATCCTTCAAAGATGTCTATGAGCACAGGGAATGTGATCAGGGGCAGCAAATTTAAATCCAGAGGTACAGAAACACAGTGAACAACCTTGGGTGATATATAAAGACTCATATTTAGTTTTCATTTAAGGCCTAGATAATTCCTGGGGAGAAAATGACAATACAATGTAATTGTCTTGTTACAAAGTAATAAGAGAAATGAATATAAAGTTCTGCCTGAAGGAATGAGAAATACTTCACAAAGAATCAAATTTTTATCCTAAGAAGAATGAGTAAGAATTCACTACCCAAGAGGAGAGACTGTGTTTGGCTTGCCTTACTGTTACGATAGTAACAGAAGGAAAGTAAGAATGTGCAAGTCAGGTAATTTTTCAAAGGCATCAATGATTTTAACCATTACTCCATTTCAGATATACATTCAGTTGTGTGTTGATACAAATAATTATTTACCTATCTTTTATTGGTTGCATTCATTTATCCATTCCTTTATTATTTCTTTTAAAAAATACTTATTGAACCACTGCCATGTGCAAAGTGCAGTAGTAGTCCTGGGTAAAGAAAGATGCGACCCTTGGAATGTTTACTCAGGTAAAAAGACAGACCTTAGAGGGATCAGTGCAATTACTGGAGTAATGTTACCACAGAGATGTGGTAATGTTATAATGTGTAATGTTACCACAGGGATAGCGATGACAGAAGTTTTTCCCTTTGCTAGGTGGGAAAGTCTTAATTAAGGGGATAACTTATTGTAGCAAATCCACAAAAGTATAATTTTTGTAAGAAAATTTTTTATGCTCTTTTTAGGATAAATCTTTGATAGTAACAAGGCTGACAGACAAGGCAAGGAAAACTTTCTGCTTGTTGCCACTGGAATGGAAGCAATAAAGATTTTTCAAATATGTTGCATAGCATTTCAATGTGGAAAGGGAATTAGTTTAGCTAATCCATTTTACTTTTAAAGAGTTATAAGATTACTGCACTTATCCCATTCAAGAAAGAAATCATTGCTGACCTCTAAAGTCTCTTCCAACACTGACAGTCTGTTAGTTAATAACCATTGGAAATGTTAAAAATAAACAATATTAAGTTTCACCTGAGTTTATGCAGTGCTGAGGACAACGCTTTTTTTTTCTCAGACATTAGAATGGGTTGTGGCAGAAATTCCTCTCTTATTTCTCCAAGACATCTTATCATATTTGTAAAAGTAATTAACTTCAAGTACATATTTTCTGATCATTTTGGCCATTGTTTGTAATGTAAAAAGATAAATTATACTGCTATGCTAGTTTGATAAGGCAGAATAAAAGAAGTGGTGTTATTGTGATTGTGTATTTTTAATTTTAAAATGTAGATTATTTTAATGTTATATTCAGTAATATTTTTGAAGTCGCTTGTATGTGACTCAGTTATTTATAGCAGGCTGGGACCAGACCTAGAACAAAATCTTCCTATATAGGAGGAACAGGCGCTGCTTATAGAAACTGAATAGCAGATGCTGAGGGGAAGGACAGTCTGAAGGACAGAATGCAGTATTCAGAGCAGTGTCCTGATAAGGGGTTTGAGGAGGGCATAGAGACAAATTCCAACAGCAGCATTCAGGATTCCAGGAGAAACGCCTGAAGGACACCTGTCAGCAGGTAGCTCACTGGATTGCAGGCACTGGCCTGAGTTTCAAGGTTAAACTTTAAGCAGGGAACCTGGAGAAGCAAAATAAGCCACAGTCTTAGAGAAGCTGGGGTCACAGACATGTCACAAAGACTTTTTAGGCACAAGAAACAATCTAAATATCCAGTTACCAGGTCTAGTATATTGGGAGGACAGTGAGTTCAAAGAAAAGCAGTAGTTCAAAGACAAGTTTTGTGGGGAATAGATAATCCTTGCACACTCTTGGTGGGAATGTAAATTAGTGCAGCTACTATGGAAAACAGTATGGAGATTCCTCAGAAAGTTAAAAATAGAATTATTTGATCCAACAATCCCACTTCTGGGTATATATTCAATGAAATTGAAGTCAGGATCTTGGAGAGATATCTGTACTTTCATGTTCATTGCAGCATTATTCACAATAGCCACAATATGGAAACAACCTAAATATCCCTCAACAGATGAATGGATAAAGAAAATATGGAATATATAGTGTGTGTATACATGTATATGTATATAAAATGGAATATTACTCAGCCTTAAAAAGAAAGGAAATTTGCTATTTGTGACAACATGTTTGAATCTAGAGGACATTCTAAGTGAAATAAGCCAAGACAAACACTGAATGACCCCAACTTTTATGAGGAATCTAAAATAGTCAACCTAATAGAACAAGAGACTAGAATAGCGGCTGACAGGAGCTGGAGGGAGGGAGAAATGGGGAAGTATTGGTCAAAGGGTACAAAATTGTTTTAGTCATGCAAGATGAATAAGTTTTGGAGATCTACTGTACAGTGTATGGCCTGTGGTTCACAATGCTGTGTTGTATACTTGAAAGTTTGCTTTCATGGATAGATCTTATGTCAAGTACTCCTGCAAAAGAAATAAAAAATAAATACAGGAAACTTATGGAGGTGATAGATAAGTTTATGGCATAGATTGTGGTCATGATTTTATGGGTGTATAGTTACCTCCAAACTTATCAAGTTATGTTCATTAAATATGTACAGCATTTTGTACGTAGATCATACCTCAATAATGTGGGTATTTTTTCAGTAAAGCAGTAATATATTTATTAGGGGCTTAGTCTCTTTGAACCATGACATTTCAATTCCTTCCCTTGTCCCTTCCCTATCAACGCCAGATGTCTGACGTGGAGGGTTAGAAGAGTCCAATCAGAGGTAGGAAGTCAGTGGTTATTAGAATTGATTCAGATTTGAGTATTTTCAAACCAATATTTCTAAGTTCTCAAAATTATATTAAAAGTGTTTAAGAAAAACGAAATTCAATTATTCATTAATAAGCATTTATAGTTCTTACACTGTGTACCAGTTATATATTAAGTGCTGAAAATAACAAGATGAATAAAACATGACATCTGCCCTTGAGAATCTCACAGTCTAGAGGACAAAAGGACCTGATAAAGTGTAATGCAGTAAGGTAAGTTCTATTATCACAAAACTGAAGAATAACCTTGAGTTTTTTAAGGGCTAGCTCTTGCTCAGAAACTCTTAATCGTTTTACTATCTCCCCATCTATTGCTAACTGAAAAAGGACTATGCTTTATCTTGCTGTCAATCCAGCACATGCATTATCCACATCTACCATTTCCATAAGAATTCTCCCCTCCACTTCATACTCAGATTCTTGTGATCTAACCAAATTACTGACTTACCTGTCAACTCTCAGACACAATTTATTATTTTCTGCACTTTTATTTGTGCTTATGGAGTTTCTTTCAACCTAAAATTTTCATCTTTTCCTCTCCATTTTTCAAATCCACTGAAGGTCATCAAAAATATTGTTTTCTCCTTGGAGCGTTTACTGAATTCTCCAGACAAGGCAACTTCTCCTTCCTTTAGACTGGCATAATAAATTCCATGTTTCACAGGAACTGTTCATAAACATTGAGCAGTGACTAGAGTTACCCTTCAATTATTTCCATTCAAACCCTATCATAGAATCATAATTTAGGGACTCTGTTCAGGAACCATATCTTGGTGATTATTTTGTATCTGCCTTACAATACCTAACCCAGAGCCTAATATATGACAAGCACTTAAAAAATACCATGAATGCTTCAATATAATATAATTCCCCAAATAGAGTGAGCCTCCATATTCCCAATGAGAATTTTACTAATCAAATGATTTTGCCCTAGAATAATATACATTCACTTATCAGTTTAATGTTTATGAGGTTATCTGATAACTAGTTTTAATTCTGTTTATTAAATTAGTTACATTTATATATTTAAACCACATATTTTAGGCTGAGCTCCGTAGCTCACACATGCAATGCTTGCATTTCAGGAAGCCTAGGGAGGAGGATCACTTACATTCACAAGTTCGAGACTAGCTTGGGCAACATAGTGAGACCTCATCTCTACAAAAAATAAAATTAGCAAGGTGTGGTGGTGCACACCTGTAGTCCCAGCGCTTTAGGAAGATGAGGTAGGAGGATCACTTGAGCCCAGGAGGTCAAGGCTTCAGTGAGCTATGATTATGCCACTGCACTCAGCCTGGGTGACAGAGTGAGACCCTATCTCAAAATAACTACATAAATAAATAAATAGTATATCTTTTCAAATAACAAAATTATTAAGAAATAGCATGTTTTTCCATCTCACTCTTAATATATGATACAACTTACTCAAGCTCTTATACAAAACCCGCTCATCAAGATCTTTATCTTCTCTAGAGCTACATTTAAAGTCCTCATGATCATTTCCCAGGATGCAATCTAAGCATTTTTTGAATATGTGATTCTTATAGTCTCTGGAAATTTTATTTCACAGACCTAATCAATTTACATATCTTCTAAACGGTCTTTTTTTTTTTTTTCATTTGACCTTGGAGCATTTACTGAATTCTCCAGACAAAGGCAATTTCTATAGGTGCATACTCATAATATCAACATAATATACATCTACTTCATTTTTGAATTAATTGGCTTTATTTCTTAAAGCAGCTTTTGGTTTACAGAAAAAGTGAGCAGGAAGTATAAAGTTCCCTATACCCCCTCACTCCCTGCAGTTTCCCCTATTATTAATCTCTTACATTAGTATGATAAATTTGTTACAGTTGATAAATCAATTTTATATATTATTATTAACTAAGGTCCTTAGTTTACAGGTAGGTTCACTCTTTATGTTGTATACTCTATAGCTATTTTGTTCTTTAAATAGACTTTTTTTTTTAAAGCAGTTTTAGGTTCATAGCAAAATTGAGCAGAAGGTACAGAGATTTCCCACACACTCTCTGTCCCCACACGTGCATAACCTCCCCAATTATCAACATCCCCCACCAGAGTGGTACATTCACTACAATTGATGAACATACACAGACACACCATTATCACCCAAAGCCCATAGTTTACATCAGGATTTACTCTTGGTGTTGTGCATTCTGTGAGTTTTTGATAAATGAATAATGGCATGTATTCATCACAGTATCCTACAAAATAATTTTACCATCCTAAAACTTCCCCGTGCTCCACCTACTCCTCCATCCCTTTCTTCCATGAACTCTAGAAAACTAATTATCTTTTTAGTATCTCCATTGTTTGGTCTTTCCCAGAATGTCATACAGTTGTAATCATATGGTATGTAGGTTTTTCAGATTGGCTTCTTTCACATAAAAATATGAAATTAAGGTTCTGTGTCTTTTCATGACTGGAGAGTTCATTTATTTTATTGCTAAATAATATTTCATTGTGTGTAAGTGCTGCAATTTGTTTATCCATTCACCCATTGAAGTGAACACTCTTGACTGTTTCTAAGTCTTGGCAATCAGGAATAAAGCTGCTAAAGATACTCATGTGAAGTTCCTTGTATGGGCATAGTTTTTCAAAGAAATACATTTCATATTACAATGTAATATATACAATTGCTAGATTATACCCACAGGAATAGTTATGAAATCTGATTTAATGTGTTTGCATCTTTTTTACACATTTTTCCTGTTGACCTCAATATAGCTATGAATTCAACATTAATTGAGGTTGTTTGTGGCTATGGAATCTACACCTTGGAGTCAGAAAGTTTGTCTTATTAACTGATTGTACCATTTACAAGCTATATTATCTCATGTAGAATAATCTTTCTGTATATTAGTTTATCTATATGTAAAGTGACTATATTTTAGGGTTGTTGAGAGTATTAATGGTAAATTGTAGCTATATCTATTAGAAATTATTTAAATAGGCCAGGTGCAGTGGTTCATGCCTGTAATCCGAGGGAGGCCTCCTTAGAGAGGCTGAGGCAGGAGGATCACGAGGTCAAGAGATGGGGACCATCCTGGCCAATATGGTGAAATCCTTTCTCTACTAAAACTACAAAAATTAGCTTGGCGTGGTGGCATGCACCTGTAGTCCCGGCTACTCAGGAAGCTGAGGCAGGTGAATTGCTTGAACCCGGGATGCAGAGGTTGCAGTAAGCCGCGATCGTGCCACGGCACTCCAGGCTGGCAACAGAGCGAGACTCTGTCTCAAAAAAAAAAAAAAAAAAAAAAAGATTTAAATAATAACTTGGAAAATGATGCACATGTAAAAATTCCGAGCATATACTTCCAAAAGAGCAAGCTTGGATTGTCTAACTCAAAAAAATTGACATGAGCCACAAAAACTCACCTCCTAGGGCCCTAAGAAAACATATGGTATTGGATACCTAAAAAATCCAAACATCACCATGCAAAGTTCCAAAAAATTGACAGATGTGCATTAATACATAATTTTAAACTTTGCCTTAGAAATATGCAATGTACTGATTACAAAATCATACACACTCCTCGATTCTCAGAGTATTGTAAAATCTTTGGAAAAGTAAAATTTACTGGATTTGTTTTTATATACTTTATTAATATATCAATTAATTTATGTACATATGAATTCTTTCATTAATTATTTCATTCATGTACTCCAAAAGAAATTATAAACTAATTGCAGAGGATAAGGCATAGCTAGTGACGTCTAGAGAAGCAGTTCTGTGTTGCAGAATAGAAAAAAGTTGTTCTCTGTAGCCATAATGAGCTGGAGAGGAGCTGAATCCCAGGTCAGTGATTAACTAGCTACATAAATTTGGCACATGATTTAATCTTTCTAATCTCAATTTCCTTCTGTGTGAAGTTGAGATAATATTTCTTATCTTTCTGGGTTATTTGTCAAATGGCAAGCAATATTTGTAAAGTTCCTGATTCATAATAAAAGATCTTCAAATAGTAACTCTTGCTTGGATTTCCTTACCTAAATCCTTTATCTGAGCCCTTTCCAGCATTCTATTTTTCAGCAAGATATGTAAATTGCTTAAGAAAATTGGCTCATACATTAGATATTTTTAAATCAAGTTTTCCTGTGTATCCTGTGACTTAATCTTCTAGATCTATCTTATATATTATCATTGAGAATGAAATATATAAGAATAGATTATCAAAACTACAGAATTGTTTTTATATTATTGAAATTTAAAATATTTGGGTAATTATCTATGCTAGTAAAAAATTAATAATATAAATCTTCCATCATATCCCACTGCTGCCTGAGCTCTTTTACAAAAAGTTTTTGAAGGAGATAAGGTGATATTATTAATACCAACTTGCAGAAGAGAAGAAATTGGGACCCTTAACAGGTAAAAGGATTTAATCTAAGTTACATAATCAGTACTGGATGTGCTGACAAGACATCTCAGCCTCTAGCATTCTTCACATGTTATATAAATGGCATAGTATTGGGTCTCTAACTTTTACATTTGCCAATAGCATAATTTTGTGTACATATGAAGTTAAAGAATTTGTTTTGAAACAAATTAGTGGTGTTACTGTGATTGCGCAGTTGCTACTTTTTAATCGTATATAGCTCCATTACATAACCAAATGTTCAGGAAATATTTGTAAAACTAAAGAAATAATTCTTACTCTGTATATTAATAGAACTGAGTATGAGATTATACGAATGTGACATTAAAGATTGAAGGAATGTCCTATAAACCAAAAGCTTTTTGAAAAATACTCGCCATTTGCCTGAAAATTGAATAATGTCACACTAAAGACAAAGCTGGATTGTGTCCCCTTGGCATTAACAATATGGAGTTAATGGCAGATAGCATGTGAAAATGTGAGCAGACAGTTATCATAAAGGGATACAAAAATATAAGAAAAGCTAGATTTAAATAACATTTCTCAAGAAAAATATAGCCACAATGATTAAAATATAGCTTTTTTATTGTATGATTTTTAAGATTTCTCAAGTTTAAAGACACAGAAATACAATTTAAATGATCTCAGGGAAAAAAGTAATTTTTTGGAAGGATTCTAGGTCATGTTATGGAAACCAAACCAGAAAAAAGAGAGGGCTATATTTGTACCCCAGGGACACTAGATCTAGTGATAGGTAGTGAACACTAGAACTCACATGACATCAAGGACTTGGGCTTTCATCTCTGCTGCTTCTTGAATGCTCACATTGTTTTTCCCTTCCTTTTCAAACTTTCTCAACTTAGCAGTAAAGTTGACTACAAGCAGTTTTAAGTTGTACACCTTTCAATTTAACCTCCAAAGAGAAAACATTACTAACTGCTGCTATCTCTGGTTCCAAGTCCAAAAACTGCAGAGAAGGGAATCATTTGTTCAGCTTGGATTGTGTGCCCAAAACTGGACAAACAATTGTGGCCAGAGAAATAGGATCTTGTTAGCAACATGGAACATTCATAGACTTATGGACTATTATAACTAGGAGACACATTAAACATCACTTTTCTAATAATTTTGTTTAGAGATTAATGAACTGTGACAACAAATGTTCAGAGACTTGACCAAGTGACAAAACTTGAATTTGAATAAGTATCTAGTGTTTTTGTAATGCTTAAAGTTATTAAAAGGAAAATAAAAATAAATGAAGTAGGAAGAGAAGGAAATGAAGTAGAAGAAAGAAGAAGAGAAGGAGGAAGAGAGGGAGAAGGGAAAAGAAGGAAAGAAGGAAGGAAGGTTGAAATGGAAAAAGTAAAAGGGAAAGAAAGGAAGTAAAAAACAGAAACAAAAACGGGCAGCTCCTACTGTAATTCTATTGATGGAGTGAGTGGGAGAAGAGGTTATATTATAAAGTGGCTGGAAAACAATGCCATACTTGCCCATTATAGTCTATGAACCATGACTTACGTAGTATATATAGCAAGTAGAATAAATAAATGATTATATTTGGCTTAAATTGTCAGATTATTTTACTCAGTTTCTCTCAATTTTGCAATAGATGTGCTTTCTCATTTTGATTTTTCACTCATCTTCCCTTTTATCTACAGATCTGTAGGCTGTTTCTCATAAAACTGATTGCTGGGTGAAAAAATTTCTTGGCATCATCACACAAAAAAATACTTATTTGGTTCTGCCTAGTTTAAAATACCAGTGTAAAATTAAACACTTACTACAATGTACCTCCATTTCTTAATAGGCACTATGCTTCATTAGAAATGTAAATTGAGCTTTTACAAGCAATATCTTTTTTTTTTTTTTTTTTTTTAGATGGAGTTCCACTCTTGCTGCTCAGTTGGGAGTGCAAAGGCACAATCTTGGCTCACTGCAACCTCCGCCTCCTGGGTTCAAGCAATTCTCCTGCCTCAGCCTCCAGAGTAGCAGGGATTACAGGCATGTGCCACCACGCTTGGCTAATCTTTGTATTGTTAGTAGAGACGGGGTTTTACCATGTTGGTCAGGCTGGTCCCGAACTTCTGAACTTAGGTGATCACCCACCTCGGCCTCCCAAAGTGCTGGGATTATGGGCATGAGCCACTGCACCTGGCCTCACTAGCAATATCTTTAATGACGCCTTGGTATACTACGTAATTACTAATTACATAAATTATTAAAACACAGCCATAGGAAAATGTGTCTGTCTTCATCCAGATTCATCTCTAAATGTATGGATGTTTGAGATAGCACTATTGATGTATTTATTGTAGTATTTTCTTTGGGGCTATCTGAATAAAGTGAATAATTTGTTTAACAATGTTCACTATTTGCCTACTAAGTGCCACGCAGGTACTGAGAAGTGGAACAGAAAATAAGATAATTCTTAGAGAACTAGTCCAGTTGAGAGAAAAAGCCTTGTAAAAGGTCATTATAGACTTCTGGTAATGGCAAACTGAATATTTTGAACCAGACTTCCTGAAGAGGATAACAAAAGAGCTAAACAATATATATGAAACATTTTCCTTATGTCGTCTTATAACTAATAAAGTAGGAAATAATTATGGCTTCAATACCCGGAAGAAACCAGAAATCTAGAGAGAAGAGCCTGGTTTTTGGAATCCTTCTGCTCTGTAGGCATTGGCAGCCCAGAATAGGTATCCAACAGACTGGGCATTACTTTGGGAAGATTCCTGGGTCCATGGAAAATTACCTTGGAAATAAATGTCACCAAATAGTGTGGCTCTGGTAAATCCCTTGTGAATGGGTTGGAATCAGACAAGTGTACTCTAGGTCTGTTACAGGTAGTTAGACAGGCAAGAGCATGGCAGGAGAGGGCTGTTCACCCCTACCCACTAGCAATGTCAAGTGATGGTTTGACAATTATCACACTGCCTCTCTAAAAATGATAATTTGGCAGCCTGTGCCAGGGCATCAGGGAGAGACAACCTCCTTACCATCCAAAGCTATTAACATTAAAGTGTTAAAATTATGCAGCAGCCAGGAAGAAGCAACTTCCCAGGCATGTGCATTAAGAGGCAAAATATCAGAGTATGACCTTCTGGGGCCACTCCACCGGAAAAGGGAAGGAAGCCTCAGATGGGCATGTGTACCACTTCCTAAAGACAGTGCACGTGCTCACTTCCCAGGCGTAAGGAGGGCACTGTGCATGCGGGCAGCCCACCCTAAGGGAAGAATCACAAAAAGGGGCATAAGATGCCAGCCTACAAAGTCCTAGGATGACAGTTAAATGCGACACTTGTTCTTCAAGTCGCCCACTTGGATCTCTTCCAAGTGATCTTTCCCTTTTTTCCTGTTCTAAAGCCTTTTTAATAAACTTCCACTCCTGCTCTGAAACTTCCTGTCTCTTTTTCTGCCTTATGCCCCTAAATTGAATTCTTTATTCTGAGGAGGTAAGAATTCAGGTTGCTGCAGACCCGTACAGATTCGCAGATGGTAACTCAGATACCTGCCACCAGTAACAGGTCTAAGAGTGCATCAGAAGCAAAACAGCTATTAAAAGTTTGAGTCATGTGGGTGACCAAAAAAAAAAAAAAAAAGTCAGTGTTTTTTTGTTTGTTTGTTTGTTTGTTTTTGAGACAGAGTCTCGGTCTGTCGCCCAGGCTGCAGTGGCGCGATCTCGACTCACTGCAAGCTCCGCCTTCCGGGTTTGCACCATTCTCCTGCCTCAGCCTCCCGAGTAGCAGAGACTACAGGCGTCCGCCACCAAGCCCGGCTAATTTTTTGTATTTTTTTTAGTAGAGACAGAGTTTCACTGTGTTAGCTAGGATGGTCTCGATCTCCTGACCTTGTGATCCACCCTCCTCGGCCTCCCAAAGTGCTGGGATTACAGGTGTGAGCCACCATGCCCAGCCAAAAGCATCACTTCTTAAAGTTGTGTTAAAGCAAAATAAATGATAAAATATGCAGGTAAATTTAAGTGAATACCGACTGCAAAAAATAATAATATATTGTCTCAGGGGTCTTATAAAATGTACATAATTAAAATAAATTTTAAAATGCATATACTTTGAAGGAAAAGGTGTTCTGCAGTGCTTGCATTGTCTGGGAAGAGAGAATCAATTAATTCTAGTACATGTTTCTCAGGAAAACCAGTAAACTATAGTAAAAAAGGAATAAATGCTGAGTTAATTTGGGGGAAAGAGAAAATAATTGTAATATGAAGGAAGGCAAGAAAAGAGATTATAAAGTATAAGACTACATAAGACAAATAGAAAATGTAGAGCAAGATTGTAGATTTAAAGCCAAATATTAAAAATATTTAATGTAAATAAAGACAGTTGTTATCTGCCTAGACAAAAAACGAAACTTGATTTTACACTATTTAAGAGATATATGTAAAAACAAAATATAGAAAGGTTGGAAAGAAAAAAGATGGGAAAGAAGACGGGAAAAAAGATGCTCCTGTAGTCCCAGCTACTTGGGAGGTTGAGGCAGGAGAATGGTGTGAACCCGGCAGGTGGAGCTTGCAGTGAGCCTAGATCATGCCACTAAACTCCAGCCTGGGCGACAGAGTGAGACTCTTTCTCAAAAAAACAGAAAAACCAAACAAACAAAAAAAAACCATATAATTCTGCAGAATGCACATCATTTTTATTGTCTCAAGGAGAACTTAATAGCAATTAGCCAAACACTAGTCATAATGCATATTCGTAAAATTCAAAGGACTGAAATCATACAGAATGTTTCTTGACCACAATTTAGTTGAGCTAGAGGTCGATAGCAAAAACGAGCCAAAATAAGAAAAAATAAAATAAAAACTAAAAAATGCTCATGTATATACAGAAATCATTTCCAGGTGGATTGCAGATCTGAATATGAGGTTGTAAACCAAAAGGTATTTGAGACAGGTCTCAATCAATTTAGAAAGTTTATGTTGCCAAGGTTAAGGACATGGGCCCCTGACAGAGCCTCAGGAGCTCCTGAAGACATGTGCCCAAGGTGGTCAGGGTTCAAGTGTGCTTTTATACATTTTAGGGAGACATGAGACATCAATTAATATGTGTAACATTGCCTTAGGTACAGTAAATCAGGACAACTTGAAGAGCGGGGCGGAGGCAAAAGACTGCATTCTTTTGAGTCCTTGATCAGCCTTCCACTGAATACACGAATGCACAATTTGGTCTGGCTCAGTGAATCTACATTTTTACATAAACAATACAGTGGAGAAAGCAATCAGATATGCATTTGTCTCAGGTGAGCCTCAGAGGGATGACTTTGAGTTCTGTCTGTCCTTTGTCCACAAGGAAATTCCCTGTGGGGGAGGTATGTAGCTTTTTATCTTTGTAGCTACCTTATTTAGGAATACAATGGGAGGCAGATTTGGGTGACATAGTTCCCAGCTTGACTTTTCCCTTGGCTTAGTAATTTGGGGGTCCTGAGGTTTATTTTTTTTTCACAAAGGTAAACAACGCATGTTTTACAAAGAAAACATAAGAAAACATCTTATTGCTCTTAGAGTAGGCAGTAGTTTTGCTTATTTAAAAAGGTATAGCCTGGGTGCGGTGGCTCACGCCTGTAATCCCAGCACTTTGGGAGGCCCAGGCGGGCGGATCACGAGCTCAGGAGTTTGAGGCCAGCCTGGCCAATGTGGTGAAATGCCGTCTCTACTAAAAATGCAAAAACTAGCCAGTCTTGGTGGTGTGCACCTGTAGTCCCAGTTACTCGGGAAGCTGAGGCAGAAGAATTGCTTGAACCCAGGAGGCGGAGGTTGGAGTGAGTCGACATCATGCCACTGCACTCCAGCCAAGTAAGACTCCGTCTCGAAAAAAAATAAAGTATAAATCAGAGAAGAAAAAATAATAAATCAGACTATTTTAAAATGTAGAACTACTGTTTATCAAAAATATGCCATCAAGAGAGTAAAAATGCCGCCAATAAAGTGGGAAAATATCCAATTATTTAGATCAAGAGCACGTAAGAAATGATGCTTAACATCCTTAGTCACTGTGGAAATGTAAATTAAAGCCACTATGCCAGAATGGCTAAACTGAATACTCTTCAGAAATGAGAATAAACAATGTACAGTTACAAGTAAAAATATGGATTAATTTCATGAACATAACTGAGCAAAAGAAGTTACATTAAAAAGTATACATATTCTATGATTAAATTGCATAAAGTATAAAATTAAGTGAACCTAATCTATGGTATTGGAGGTCAAGATAGAGATTAATTCTCCTTCCCATTGGGTGTGGCATGTTGACAAGAGAAAGTATTGAGCCACACACAATAAATCATACTTTTTGTTTGTTTAATTTTGAGACAGGGTCTTGCTGTCTTTCCCAGGCTGGAGTGCAATGGCATAATCATGGCTCACTGAAGGACCAACCTCCTAGGCTCCAGTGATCCTCCACTTTAGCCTCCTCTCTGCGACTACAGGTATACACCACCATAACTGATGAATTTCTTGTTTTTCATAGAGACAAGGTCTCCCTATGTTGCCCAGGGTGGCCTTGAACTCTGGGCTCAAGTGATCCTTTCACCTTAGCCTCTCAAAGTGTTGGGATTAGTCATAAGCCACAGTATTTGGCCTTTTAAAAATACATACATATATTTTGAAAATCACTTTTTTTTCTTTCCAACTATTTTTAGGTTCGAGGGGTACATATACAGGTTTGTTACATGGGTAAATTGCATGTTGCAGGGGTTTCTTATACAGATTATTTCATCACCCAGGTAATAAACAGTACCTGAGAGGTGGTTTTTCACACCTTACTCTCCTTCAACCCTCCACCCTCAAGTAGGCCCTAGTGTCCATTATTTATAACCATGTATACTCAATATTTAGCTCCCACTTATAAGTGAGAACATGTGGTGTTTGGTTTTCTTTTCTTGCATTAACTAATTTAGGATAATGGCCTCCAATTCCACATGTGTTGCTGCAAAGGACATGACTTCATTCTTTTTTATGACTGCATAATATTCCATGGTACATATCTACCACATTTCCTTTATCCGGTTCAGCACTGATGAGTGTCTACCTTGATTCCACATCTTTGCTATTGTGCTTTAATAAACATATGCATTAATGTGTCTTTCTGGCAGAACATTTATATTCTTTTTTTTTTTTTTTTTTTTTTGAGACAGAGTCTCGCTCTGTCACCCATGCTGGAGTGCAGTGGCATGATCTTGGCTCACTGCAAGCTCCACCTCCCGGGTTCACGCCATTCTCCTGCCTCAGCCTCCCAAGTAGCTGGAATTACAGGCGCCCGCCACCACGCCCGGCTAATTTTTTGTATTTTTAGTAGAGGCGGGGTTTCACCATGTTAGCCAAGATGGTCTCGATATGCTGACCTTGTGATCCGCCCGCCTCAGCCTCCCAAAGTACTGGGATTACAGGCGTGAGCCACTGCACCCGGCCAGAACATTTATATTCTTTTAGATATATACCCAGAAATGGAATTCCTGGGATGACCGATAATTCAATTTTAAGTTCTTTGCGAAATCTCCAAACTGCTTTCCTCAGGGGCTGAACTAATTTACATTCCTGCTAGCAGTGTATAAGCATTCCATTTTCCCCTTAATCTCATCAGCATCAACTTTTTAATAAGCTATTCTAACTGGTATGAGATAGTATCTCATTGTGGTTCTGATTTGCATTTCTCTAATGATCAGTGATGTTGAGCATTTTTTCGTATGCTTGTTGGCTGAGTGTATGTCTTTTCTTGAGAAACGTCTATTCATATCCTTTGCCCATTTTTTAAATAGGGTTATTTTGGTTTTGTTTGTTTAAGTTCCTTATAGATTCTGGATATTAGACCTCTGTCAGATGCATAGTTTGCAAATATTTTTTCTTTCAATTTAGGTTTCTTTCAATTTACTCTGTGGATAGCTTCTTCTGCTGCGTATAAATTCTTTAATTAGATCCCACTTGTCCATTTTTTTTTTTTCAATTTTGGAGTCTTTGTCATGAAATCTTTGACAGGACCTATGTCCAGAATGTTTATTCCTAGGTGTTATTCTAGGGTTTTATAGTTAAAAGTTTTACATTTAAGTCTTTAGCCCTCAAGATGAGTTACATTTTACATTTTTCATTTAACTCATCAAGTCTTTAACCCATCCTGACTTTTGTTTATAGTAAAGAGAAGGGGTCCAGGTTCAGAAAGTTTTACATTTAAGTCTTTAGCCCTCAAGATGAGTTACATTTTACATTTTTCATTTAACTCATTAAGTCTTTAACCCATCCTGACTTTTGTTTATAGTAAAGAGAAGGGGTCCGGGTTCAATCCTCTGCATATAGCTAGCCAGTTACCCAGCACCATTCATTAAATAGGGAGTCCATTTCCCATTGCTTGTTTTTGTTAACTTTGTCAAAAGTTATTTGTTGTAGGTGTGTGACCTTATTCTTGGGTTCTCTATCCTGTTCCATTGGTCTATGTGTCTGTTTTTATACTTGTACCATGCTGCTTTGGTTACTGTTGCCTTGTAGTAGAGTGTGATGCCTCTGGCTTAGTTCTTTTTGCTTAGGATTGTTTTGGCTATTCAGACTATATTTTGGTTCTGTATAAATTTTGGAGTATATTTTTCTAATTCTGTGGAAAATGTTTTTGATAGTTTGATAGGAACAGCATTGTATCTATAAATTGCTTTGGGCAGTATGACCATTTTAACAATATTGATTCTTCCTACAGATGACCATGGATTATTTTTCCATGTTTGCTTAATCTCTGATTACTTTCAATAGTATTTCATAATTCTTATTGTAGAGATCTTTCCCCTCTCTGGTTAGCTGTCTTCCTAGGCATTTTTGTATGTGTGTGGCTATTGTGAATGGGATTGTGTTTTGATTTGGCTCTCAGCTTGGATGTTGTTGGTAAATTGTGTTTATTTCGATCTTCAGTTTTCTTTATTACTCCAACTTGTGGTCTATCAATCTTATTCTTTCAAAGAACCCGCTTTTTGTTTCATTAATCTATTGTATTTATTTTAATCTCAATTTCATTCAGTTCAGCTCGGATTTTAGTATTTCTTTTCTTCTGCTAGTTTTTGGGTTGATTTGCTGTAAGTTGGGTTCAGTTGAGTGGCTTTGTTTCTGGATGATTTCACGGGGGGCCAGGCTCAGCTGAGCACTCTTGAGCTTCATGCTCTAACCATAAGGTGCAGTGTCCAAGCCCATAACTTCGTTTTCTGTCCCCTTGAGGTTAAGCAGCTGCTGTGCTGGAGGAGCTAGAGATGTTCCCAGTCCACAAGCACCAATACTCTGATAAGGGGTGCTGGAAAAAGCACTTCATCAGGATAGTGGCATCAGGGTCCACACATGCACACACACTGACAACAGTGTGATGACAGTGTGATGGAGTCTGTGTACACATGCTCATGCTAGTGGTGGTGGAATGGCTGGGTCTCCATGCACATAGGCACCAGCAGGGGCTGGGTTATGGTGGTGAGTTCCACATGCATGCATCTGTGGTACTGGGTGATATGTTTTGGCTGTGTCCCCACCCAAATCTCATATTGAATTGTAATCCCCACTGGCTGGGGGAGGGACCTCATGGGAGGTGATTAGATCATGGGAATGGTTTCCCCATGCTGTTCTTGTGATAGTGAGTGAGTTCTCATGAGATCTGATGGTTTTATAAGAGGCTTCCCCCTTCACTCTGCACTCATTCTCTCTCCTGCCACCATGTGAAGAAAGATATGTTTGCTTCTTCTTCCATCATGATTGTAAGTTTCCTGAGGCCTCCCCAGCCATTCAAAACTGTGAGTCAACTAAACCTCTTTTCTTTATAATTTACCCAGTCTCGGGTATGTCCTTATAGTAGTGTGAGAATGAACAAATAGACTGGGGTTGTGAGGTTCACAGAGTGCACACCATAGCATAGTAGTAGGAACAGGCCATGGGCAGGTGCTTGGGGGCAAAGCAGTGGAGGAGGCTGCTGGCAGGTGCATGTCAGCCAGGCCTGTCTGCTAAAGCTCTCCGATGGTTAGGTAGGGTCCACACCAAGTAGCTATGGTGGCAGCTGCTGCAAAATGCCTCTGTTGGTGATCTCAGGCTGCGGTGCAAATGGGTGTGGCCAGGGAGGTGCCCCAGAGAAGGACCAGCAAACGGGGGTGTGTTCAGATCAGACTGGTCCCGTCCCATGGACAAGATAGCTCTGCTCTGTTCAGGTCTGACAGTCAACAAAGGCCAAAGCCACCTAGGGGAGTGTGGTAAGCCTTGGAGGATGTGCATCCCTGGCTGTGCTCTACTGTAGTCATGCTGTGCCAACACCCCCCAGTTCCCCAAAGGCTGGAGTCTTGTCCCTGACACTTCTCCAAGCAGCTCTCCATGCCAGCTCGGATGTATATGGCGGTCATGGGGATTCCTATGGTTAATATTCTAGAGGTCCGTGGTAAGTCCATGGGCCACTTCTCACCTATTTAACTCACTCCTTCCAAGGAGTCACTGGGGGCTAGGAACAAGTCCTGGTGCTTGGCAGTCTCATGCAGGGTTCCCAGCTTCCTCCCCCTTCAGCCCAGTGTCTGCATGCTCCCTTTTTCCACTCTTAATGATTTCCTTCTAAAGATCTCCTTAGAGTATACTGGACTTCATGATGGTCTGGTTTCACCATGGGAGATGCTTTTCCTTGCTGTGTCTAGCTAGCCATCTTGGCTCCTCTCACTTTTTTGCATGTGTATTTTTATGTATATGTCTTCTACAGAGAAAGCACCAAATTTAGATGACTTCACTGATAAGTCCTACCAAATATTCAAGAAAGAAATCCTACACTAACAAATCCTACCAAATATTCAAGAGAACTATTATATAAAACCTCCTAGAGAATAGAAAAACTTAGAAATATTTTCAATTTATTTTATAAGGGCAGCATAAACATAATGCTAAAAGCAAACAGGTATATTAATAGGCTGGGCATGGTGGCTCACACCTGTAATCCCAGCACTTTGGGAGGCCGAGGGGGTGGAACACAAGGTCAGGAGATCGAGACCATCCTGGCTAACACGGTGAAACCCAGTCTCTACTAAAAAATACAAAAAATTAGCTGGGCGTTGCGGTGGGCGCCTGTAGTCCCAGCTACTCGGGAGGCTGAGGCAGGAGAATGGCGTGAACCCGGGAGACGGAGCTTGCAGTGAGCCGAGATTGTGCCACTGCACTCCAGCCTGGGTGACAGAGCGTGACTCTGTCTCAAAAAAAAAAAAAAGAAAAAAAGAAAAAAAGAATAAGTTAATTTCATTTATATACAGAGATGCAGCTGTCTTAAATCATTAGTGCACAAATCCAGCAATACATAAAAAGTACAGTATTGTCACAACCATGCAGGCTCTATTTCAGAAGTGGAAGTTTGGCTTAATAATGAAAAATCAATTAATGTAATTAACTTTTATATCAAAGCAGAAAAAATCATGTACAAAAAAGGCTACTGATAATAAAAATCAAAAGCTAGTGATAAAATGCAATAATCATTTATGGTACAGTATTTAACAAAGTAGGAATAGATGGAATTTTTCTTATCTAATAGAAGGATTTTGCAAAAACTTGTAGCAAATGTTATTATGAATTGTTAAAATATTATCCAATGAGATTAGAAATTAGAAAAAAGTTCCTAATATTATTTCCCTTTCAAATTATACTATACATTCTTGTCAAAACAGGAAGGCAAGAGGAAAAAAGTTATAAAGGTTGAAAGAAAGCAATAAAATGCTCATTAGCTGCAAAATATATGATTATGTATCTATAATATCCAATGAATGTACAGATGAGTTATCTGGATTATTAAGAAGTTTAGCAAGGATGTTGGTGCAAGGTAATATATCAAAATTTACATATAAACCAGTGGTAAACAATTGAAAATAAAATTTAAAACATAATATTATAATATTATTGATATATCGTATACCAAAAAATAGTCCTGCAAGAATCTTAACAGAGAAAACTGTAAATCATTATTGAGAAATCTTTTATATATGTTCATAGTTAAGGAAGAGTTAAATAAAGAGAACAGAATATATGTTCATGAATAGGAAGACTCAATATTTTAAGATGTAAATTCTCCTCAAATTGAGCTATATGTTCACTGGCTAAATCCCAGTCAAAATCCCAGCAGGTATTTTTAGATATCAGTAAGCAGACTTTTAAGTTATCCTGCTTTTATTTCAGAATATGGCCAAGAAAACTGGGGGAAAATTTTTCATTTCACACAACTGAGCCAAGTTACAGGATATTTCCATGACTGGATCTTCCAAGTTCCAGAACAGAAATATTAAGCTGCAATTGAAAGATCTGGTTCTAGATGAGTGGCTATTAATGCTGGTTGAAGAATCTGCAAAACTGCTACAAAGGGAAGAATGAGCCCACTATGCACATTGGGATGGGAAACTATAAAAAAAACAGAAAACAAAAAACAACAACAACAAACTCCTCCAAAATTAGAAAACCAAAATTCCCATTTCCCTGAAGAAATGTAATGGTGATCTTCTGGCAAGTGTGTCAAGTTCTGAGTTGCAAACAAACAAGTTCCACCTTATTTTTATGAAAAGGCTACCCAGTTACCCACTTTGTCACTACTCTTAGAGTCAAGGTTCACGATGTGGTTTGGATTTGTGTCCCTGCCCAAATCTCATGTTTAATTATAATCCCCAATGTTGAAGGAGGGGCCTGCTAGGAGCTGATTGAACCCTGGGGCCGAATTTTCCCCCTTGCTGTTCTTGTGATAGTGCATGAGATGGGAAGACAGTATCTGAGTGTTTAAAAATGTATAGCACCTGCCCCTTTGCTCTCTTCCTCCTGCTCCTGTCATGTAAGACATGCCTGCTTTCACTTCACCCCTCCATCGTGATTGTAATTTTCCTGAGGCCTCCCCAGCTATGCTCCTTGTATAGCCTGCAGAACTGCAAGCCAATCAAACCTCTTTTCTTTATAAATTACCCAGTCTCAGGTAGTTCTTTATAGCATTGTGAGAATGGACTAATACAGTTCAGGATTTGCAATTTAAGGAAACATGCGGTGCATTCTATCATACTCTGTATTATTAGTAGATCTTTTATAATACGGTACCTTTCAAATGTGTTCCTCCCCAACCACAAAGCCTTTTATTTACCTAAACGGTCTTGCCATGTCAAAGGCAAGGCTACTGTTCAGTAAACTCCTCTAAATCAGAATGTCATTAGAAGAAATTTAAATTATATGTAAAGGAATAAAAGCTGAAAATCGAAGGCTTTTGTTTTGAAAAGTTGAGCTTACAAATTTGCAAGTGTCATTTTCTGTATTTCCGAAATACTGTAAAATTTATTTATTATAAAGTTTAATATTAGAAATAAAAGCTTATTACTAAAAAAAGTAATGTTAAGAAAGACAAATAATATAGCAAACACTCAAAATTGTAATTTCACTATATAAATTCATTTTCTACAATAATCAGAGGAAAATTAAAATTACTGTTCAAAATTTGGAGGTGAAAGCAGGGATCAACTGTCTATTAAAGTTACTAAATTTGGCATAAAAAATTTAAAGACTCTGGAAGATTTGGTTTCGTTTAATGAGTTCAGGGAATTTTAAAAAACACGTTTTTCTGTATTTTTTTGAAAGTTCTTGTCAGAAAGCATTTGGAAAGTCAAAAATATATAGCAGAGAGATCAAATAGGGTTGGAGCTGAGATTCAGAGGCAGAGATAAGTGATATGGTTGGAGTATATCAATCTCCCAAGGAGCCACTTCCCAGGTTCGGAATGTAGAAACCAAGCCAGAAGTAAGAGTGGCATAAAATCATCTCCCTACCACCTGGAAACTACCTCTCCCAACTATCTAAACAGTGGAAACTTCTGGTAATTTAACAAAAAGTATTTATGAGTTGTTAACAAAGATATGAAAAGCTAAACCATTGTTTCAGGTACCATGCAAATTGACAATGAAGTGTTGAAAATGAAATGTAGGGCCTCTTTTCAGAATATTATGATGTATTAGTCCATTCTCACTCTGCTACAAAGATACTACCTGAGACTTGGTAATTTATAAACAAAAGAGGTTAAATTGACTCACAGTTCTACATGGCTGGAGAGGCCTCAGGAAACTTACAATCATGGCAGAAGGTGAAGGGGAAGCAGGCACCTTTTTCACAAGGCAGCAGGAGAGAGAGAAAGAGCGTGAGCGGAGGGGAAGTGCCACACTTTCAAACCATCAGATCTCATGAGAACTCACTCACTATCAGGAGAACAGCATGGGGGAAAATCCCCCCAATAATCCAATTACCTCCCACCAGGTCCCTCCCTCAACATGTGGGGATTACAATTCAAGATAAGATCTGGTTGGGGACACAGAGCCAAATGGTATCATGTGATCTAATTGTTAGACAGAATCATAAATACACAAAGCATAGGTGAAAAGTTTCATAATAGCATTAACACCATAAAATTATGAAAGAAGGAGGAGCCCATTCTTCAAGGAATGTCAGGAACAGTTTCAGAAAAGAATCTTTGAGCTAGGTCTTGACAGATGACAAATACATAGTCTCATATGGTTAACTCTTGAGCCTTATGAGGATGAAAAACCAGTATCAGAAATAAAGACCAAGTTTTGATTTATCTTATGTGCCATATTAAGTACTTTAGGCTGAAGGCAGTAGGAATAAATCAGCTGATTTTTAAACAGGAGAGAGAGATATGGGCAGGTTACTTATATTGGCATCAGTGGGTGGGATAGATTGGATAAAAGGGGCGGGGAGGAGAAGAAGGGGCAGAGAAGGGAAGGGAGAAGAGAGGATAAACCATAGTTTTATTATCTAACAAAAAGCTTCCAGGGAATTTAGGCAGACGATAGTTTTTCTTAAGGCTCCTTTTTTTTCATTGACTCCTTTCTAATTCCCCCAAGTCTCAATTCTGTTTTCTCATTTTTAATTTCGGTGTCTCATGTGAACTTACATCTACATTGATATGATTTTCATTAGATATTATAAAGAAGAATATTTATAATTAATCTAATGTTAGGAATATTTAGCATGCAGCAAGTGAATATAGGTGCTTACTAATTAATGCCTTGGATTACAGTGTCCTAATGCCTGGAGGTTTTTGGAAGTAACTCTGATCTCAGTAACACTCACCCTATTGCTGTTTATCTAACAAAACAGGCATTGCCTCAGCTCACAGCATTTGTACTTGCTGTTCCCTTTCCCTGGGATGTACTTTCCTCAAACATCTACAGGGCATATTCATGTATGATCTCTGAAATCACCTTGCTTCTGACTGTGGTATATAACATAGCAAAGGCCGCTGCTCAATTTCCCACCACCTCCAATTCTGTTTTTCCAATCCTGTTCCCCTTTTTTCCACAGCATTTATTGCCATCTGACATTCTATGGATTTGCTTGTTTGTGGCCAGCCTCCCCAACAAGAAAGGAAGCTCCTCAAGAGCAAGAATTTTGTTTTGTTCACTGCTGTATGTCCCCGGCACCAACAACAGTGTCTGGCATAGTGGAGATGCCTAGGTGATATTTATTGAATGAATTAGTAAATAATATTCCTATAAAATGTGGTGAAAAGAATTCCACATGAGGAAATTAAAGTCTGGAGAAATTCAACAACTGGCTGAATATAACTTAACATTAGCAATTATTATCACTGTCATTTTAGTACTATTTTTACAAACCTATGCTTTGACATATAAATTAGCTCCAGTCATCACAGCAGTGCTGTAAGATTGCAGACAGTTGTATAGATTGTTCAAGGTCAGCTAGCTAATGGATAGAAGAATAATTTTCTGACCAAATGGTGATTTGTTATATTTGGATGGAATGCATGTTTCCTAGCAATTTACCTGCTGGGTTGCACTTCATCTGCCTTATATCCCTTAGCTTTCTTCCACCTTCTGCTTATATATTGAAGAATTGCAGGCTTATCATTATATATTTGCCTACTGATTAAATGTATTTTAATCCTTTATGGAATTACCATAAGAGATGCTATGGATAGGCTAGAACAAACTTTGAAAGAGAGGTGGTGTCTTCGTTTCCTAGAGCTGCTGTGTTAGGGTTCTTCAGGGAGAGAGAACTGATAGGATATATATATATATAATCTATTATATGTGTATGTGTGTATATATATATGATCTATTATATGTGTATGTATATATATATATATACACATATATATATATAGAGAGAGAGAGATGAGATGAGATGGGATTTTTTTAGGGGAATTAGCTCCCATGACAGGCTTTCTGCAACCTGGAAACACTGAAATGCTGATAGCATCGCTTAGTCCAACTCTGAAAACCTCAGAACCAGGTAAACAAATGGTGTAACTCAATCTGAGGCTAAAGGCCTGAGAACTCAGGGAGTTGCTGGTGTAAGTTCTGGAGTCCAAAGACCAGAGAGCTTAGAGTTCTGATGTCCAAAGGCAGGAGAAGAAGGGTGTCCCAGCTCCAGAAGAGAGAGAGAAAGAGGGAGAGCAAATTTGCCTTTCTTCTGGCTTTTTGTTCTACCTGGGTCCACAGCCGTTTGGATGTTAACCACACACATTGAGGGTAGATCTTTCCCCATTCAGTCAACCAACTCACAATTCATGAACCAGTCTCCTCAGAAACACCCTCACAGACATACCTCATGGAAATAATGCTTTATCAGTTCTCTAAGTACTCCTTAATCCAGTCAAGTTGACATCTAAAATTAACCATCACAATTGCTGTCACAAAATACCACAAAACTACAGACATAAAACTCATGTAAAACTACAGAATTTTTGTTTGTTTCACAGTTCTGGGGGCTAAAAAACCAAAGGTGCCAGAATCAAAGGCCCAAAATCAAGACATTGGGAGGGCCATGCTCCCTGTGAAACCTGTAGGAGAAAATCTTCCTTGTCTCTTCCTAGCTTCTGACAGAAGTCATTGATCCTTGGCATTCCTTGGGTTACAAATGCATCGCTCCAATCTCTGTCTCTGTCATCACATGGCATTCTCCCTGTGTGTTTCTATCTTCATGTGTTCATCTTTTATGTGTGTGTGTGTGTCTGTGTCCAAATTTCTCTTTTCTTATGAAGACAACAGTCATACTGGATTTGAGCAATCCCTAACTGACCTCATCTTAACTCGATTATACCTGCAAAGACCCAACTTCCAAATGAGGTCACATTCATAGATGCCAGGGTATAGGACTTCAACATATATTTCTGCAGGACACAAGGCAACCCATAGCAGATGGAGAGCATCAGCATGATGGGATTGCTAATAATGGGTTTAATGTATCAAGCTATTTCTCAATTCAGAGACTTCCCATGTATTGTCTCCTCTGTCTGCATTACTTTTCTGCCCACTCTTTGCTCAAGTTCTGGTGTTGTACTGGAGCCATCTCACACCAGCTCTTGAGGTTCAATTGTTAAATTTTCAGAAGCCAGTTGCCAAACACAGCAATTATTAAAAATTAAATATATAAACATAATTAATTACATTTAAAGCAATGGTAATACATTCTAAAAACTTATCCATTTCTAGCTATTTTGCTACATTTGATTATTATCTATCTATACTCTTTAGATTATTTGCATCTATTATATTTACATAGCAGAAATATAAAATACTGGTATTAATATGTCTCCATAAATCCATATTCAGTGACCTCACCTTGATAGTTTGAAATTGGCCACAGAGTGGATATATTTATAATACAGAAACCAGCTACCAGTACAAATCAGGTCTTTTTTTATCCTTGGAAAAGCAGCTGTTAAATATTTACCAGATATACTGGTTAATTCTCGTACTTCCTTTAGGCCTCATCTTCATCTCCTCAGACCAGCTTTCCATAGCATCCATTTAAAATAGACTCCTTCCTCTCATTCTCTTTCTGAATTCCTTTTTCTATTCTTCTTGAAATTCTTTTTTGTAATTGTGCAGTTATATATGCATTTATTTCATATCTGTTTCTCTCACTAAATTAAGTTTCTTGAGAGCAGGACCCGTGATTTTTTTATTTCTGTTTATTTCTAGCACAGAAATACAGCATTTAGCATATGACAGGCACTTAATACATATTTGTTAAATATTTATGATGCATTTGAGGAATAAATGGAAAATCAAAATTATGAGATAGTATGTTAAGTTTGGTGATCAGGCAAAGTTAAAGCATGGCCAAAAGGCACTGAGTTTCCAGTTACCTGCTAAGATGTGTAATTAAATTTAGGTGAAAACTGAGAGTGTTAATTCCTTGGTATCTATTTTTCCTGCCTCTTTGCACTTATGATTTGTGATGGTAAACATTAATAATCTAATCAGATGCATGGGACAATTGAAGTAAAGAGAGATGTGTATGGCATATACCCAGTGAGAGGTTCCTAGAACGTAGTAAATTTGTTCTAATAAAAGAATCTGACAATTGAAGAAAGGAATGCAAACTGGCCTATGGCATAGTTACCGACTTACCATTTGTGCCAACGAATCCTTGGGTGACCTCACTGTAAGGAGCTACATGAGATAAAGATGGGCTCAATGTAGAAATGAAAATAATAAATGCCTTCAATGGGAGGATAGGTCAACATGTTTGAAGTATTCTGGGGTACTACTAAGCCTGGGAAATAATCTAGGGACAGAAGAGGTAGGCACTAGTCTTGGCTTCCAGGCTTTAATTAAACACCTATATATGGGCAGCATCAGCTGTAGTTAGGAAGCAGTTCATTCCATCCAGAGACTTGGTTACCGAAGGCCCAGACTTATCAAGCATGGCCAAATGGTAAGAGTAAGAGTCTTGAAAGTAGACATACTGAGATATTAAAATTAACTCTTAGTTTATTAAATGACTTTCAGTAATGTACTTAATCTGTCTGCAGTTGGTTTCTTTATGTCTTAAATTGGGGTAACAGTACAAACCTGTTGGAGAAAGGAGACTGCCACTAACATTTCAGGAAGTTTTGCATGAATTAGTAAAGGGCATCGACTCTGAGCTAATGCAGTCCCTCTAGCTAATGGCTTGGCAAGAAAATGACTCTTTTGCATAAGTAAAAAGATAGTTTCTTGTTTCTGGTGCTCATACTCAGGGTACAAGACTACTGGCCTCCAAATGCAGGAAGCAAGTGATCTGTACAATCATTCTGGGTCCTGGGGCTGAGGTAAAGATTAATCAAGATCTTATATTAAAACACTGAGCTGTATTTGAAAACTTAACCCTGTCACAAATGTCAGTTTCCTTCCCAAAAATCTCTCCTCGTTTTCTTCTCTTTCCTGTCTCCCCCACACCACTATCAAGTTGGATTTCCTTGCCCTTGGAGATGAGTGAGTTCAACTTTAATTTTCTACAAATATCTTTGTTTCAGACCCTGAATAGATAACAGAGAGTCATTTACCCTCTTCTCATTGCTCTACCCCATGTAACTCCCATCCCATGTAATTAATCATAAAGTGTATTTTGTTTTATGAGGTATCCTGAGTAAGTGCTAATGGAGACTAAGTTTAGGGAGCATGAAATACTGCTACCTTTCTCCATGTGCCAATAAACCTGCTCAGTCTCAGCTGTAAAAAACACAAACAAGTAAAACCTGTTTTTCTCTTGCCCCTTAAATTATGTCAGTACCTGGCAGTCGTTTATGTTTTAAAAGTCAACAGATGGCACTCAAGGGACCAGGAACATGATAAGTGTTTAAAGGGTGTGATTTACTACTCAGCAATGTGCCAGTGATGTGGCATGAATTAAAAACAAGAAGTCTTCCAGGAGAAAAGATTTCTTTAGAGATGTAATTAATTGACCTGGTTTGGGTCTCTCCTTTCCCGGAGAAGTAGTTGTCAGTGAAGTGTTTCAAATACTGCCCTGGTTGTAATTATTATTCAAGTTCATGCTGCAAAATCATCTTCACTTAATAATTCTAGCATTCACCACCCAAAAACTCATAAACAAGGCTTTTGTATTGCCACACAGTTTGGAATTTTTTTTCTCTCAGAATTAGGAAGCAAATGTAGCCAGCAATTATTTTAGATATTGCTTTCAGAAATGAATTTTTCCCATATCTGTCAGATTTGGCTCAGAGTTCTTTTTCAATTTAATCATTGTTAGCAGCATGAAAAACTGTTAAGTTAAATGTTCAGACCTAAGCAAGTCATTACTCCATATCTGAACTCTAGAGAGCTAATGGTTGTCATGGTAATATGACTGCATGTGTGAAGTTAGCATTGGCAACATTACATTTTCATTAAAACATCATGAATATTTGCATGAACTTCTGCCCAGACCATTGTTGCAGGATTGGCTCCTCCACCCCATCTCATAATCGTGCCAAGAGATTTCATATTTCAGATCCAAACTTGTTAGAGTTTACAGCGTTCATTATTCATCCCTCGGAGATAGAAGTTGACCTGTATTCAAGGCTTAACATATATGAATAGAGAGCTCACTATATATCTCTATGGTTGATCCTACTAATTACTGTTCCACTGAATTGAGGTAACCCTCCCATTTCTTTTAGTGAATAGTTTTAATTACTTTCTTTGACTTGCCTCTTCCCAAATTAGGATATGTTTCTTCAAATAACTCCCCATGGATTTGTAGTGTTGCTATTACTCCTGAAGATGTAGGTTTCCCCCTCCCCTCCCCTTCCTTCCCCTCCTTCCCCTTGATGGAGTTTCGCCCTTTCACCCAGGCTGGAATGAAGTGGTGTGATCTCAGTTGACTGCAACCTCTGCCTCCTAGGTTCAAGCCATTCTCCTGCCTAAGCCTCCCGAGTAGCTGAGATTACAGGCACATGCCACCACGCCCAGCTAATTTTTGTATTTTTAGTAGAGGTGACGTTTCGCCATGTTGGCCAGGCTTGTCTTGAACTCCTGACTTCAGGTAATCCACTCGCCTTGTGCTAGAATTTTTTTTCTCCTTATGCCTTCTTCCCAGAACCTCCATTATGTTTTCTTTGGTTTAGGGCTGTGATTATACTTATTTGCCCATATGATCATTTATTTATTCAATTAATAAATATTTATTATGGTTTACTATGTTGTAGGGTAGATGCTAGATCCTAAGTAAGCAAGGGCAACAATTAGTTGATTAGACATGTAAGCTCTTGCTGTCTACCCTGTTCTTGGCCAAATTGTCTGTATTTCAGTGCAGCAGATGTCTTCACAAAGGTTTTTTTAGCACACAAACTGTTTGTTGAGTCCTATAAATTAGCAAACAATGCTAGTTTACTTTTTGTTTCCATGTCATTGTTTAAACATTCTTTTGTTGAGCTAAAGGTTTGAATGAATAAGCCAACAACCAGGAGGTGCCAGAACAGTTCCTGTATATACCCTGCATATATTTATTTGCAGATTTTACTGGCTATTAAATATCATATAATACATACCAGCTCTCTCCTTTCTCTGCTTACACATACATGGTTCCTGATTGATCAATAATTTAAGCGTTGCATTTGGAGATTCCTATAGGAGTTTCAAATGGTGTCCACGGTACTTCTGTATGTGCCTCTGTTCATATTGCTCCTTACACTTAGTCTGCCTTTCCCATCCCAAATTCCCACTGAAGACCTGGAGAAGGCCTCATCTTTCAAAATTCAATTCAAGTATCATTTCGTTTATGAAGTGTTATATAACAATAGGAGGATAAATCAATAACAGGATAAATAAAGAATAAGAAAGCACACTAAAAACTCTTTTTTTTTTTTTTTGAAACAAATTCTTACTCTGTTGTCCAGGCTAGAGTGTAGTGGTGCAATCATGGTTCATTGCAGCCTCAACATCCCGGGTTCAAGTGATCTTCCTGCCTTGGCCTGCCAATAACTGAGACTATAGGTGTTCACTACCACACCTGTCTAATTTTTGTGTGTGTGTGGAGATGGGGTCTTGCTATGTTGCCTAGGCTGGTCCTCAAATTTCTAGGCTCAAGCAATCCTCCTGCCTTGGCCTTCCAAAGTGTTAGGATTTACAATCCAGAGTCACTGCTCCCAGACTAAAAGCATTTTTTTTTAACAACTCTGGAAGTGAATTCCAGCAGAACCAGCAAAAAGAATGGAATTAATTACCTCTGGGGAAAGTGCCTAAGGGTAAGGAGAACTAGGGCAGTAAACTATTATAAGTCTTGTACCACTATTAAGCTTCTAAAACCATGTACATGCCATTTTAATTTTTAAAAAGATAAATTTTAAAAACTCTATATGCTTACATTAAAAGTATACTAGTTATTCTGTAGTATTTCTCATCAAATTATTTTAATTTGGATTATTTTTTTCACTAAATTTAAATGGACAGCAGACCCAGATGAATAATAAAGCATAAAGTTTGATTTCAGTAAATTGATAACTTGATAACTTTGATCATTTGTGTACTTATGCCTTCTAATTACAGCCCTCTAAAAATACATCGGATTGGTTTTTAAAAATGTAATCTGTAAAAGCCTTTCTGCCGATTGCTAACTAAATGTCAACATCTACCATGTAGTCTTAGGAATCATTAAGAATACAACTGAGGGTCATAGATTTAGAAAGATATTTAATCCACCCTAAAGATGAGATACTGAATTAGGTAATATCTAGAAGTCTCTTGCATGCCTCCTTCCAAGATATTTATATCTGTAACTACACCCGAATATCTATTTAGAAACAGATATCTAAAATTATGGGGATTGTTGGATCTAGACAAGTTGCTTTTAAATGAATTCTGTGAAAATAAAAGATCTCAGAATATCTGGGAATCTTCAGTAAGAGAAGAATAATGAGAAAGAATAGCATTCTAAAATATTAAAGCCTATTATGCAGCTGAAATTTAAAAAATACTATGGGTTTATCAATGAATTTGATAGAGCTAGGATGGAATATAAAACTCAAAAATACATATGTGAAGGTAGTTTATGATAAATGCGGAATTTCAGATCATGGTGAAAAGAATTTTTCAATAGTGGTAGGACCACAGTTTTACAGCCATTTAGAAAAATAAATAAAATGCAATTTTAAAAAGCTAGATCCATGCTTTATGAAAATAAGAGATTCCCCTCCCCCCCTTTTATTTTGAGCATTTACTTTAGAAAACTTGTAATTATACATACTTGATACTATTTCTAAAAAAAAAAAATACATCCTTTTGAAACCTAGGCAAGATTTTTTCAGCTTAATCATCCAGGAATGTCTCTCTCAAGGACCTGGAAGCTGTCTCTTTGAAATGTAAACATCATTAAAAAAAAAAGATGTTTGTTTCTCTTCTAAGTAAAGCCAATTCCAATTAGCTAAAATAAATGGTCACCCCAGTTAGCTGGTAAAGTTAAAGTGGTGCTGTCAAGCCCTCTTACTCGAAGACTAGTTATTATTTATCTTGATAATATGTGTGTAATGGGCTGTATCTGCTTGGCTATATAAAATTTCTTTCTGTCTTTGCAATCTCTTTGTGGATTGCCTGTGATATGCTCACATTCTAGATTAATTCTTATTCAATAATGATTTTTTTTTGTTTCTCTACTACTTTTATAGGAAACATTTCTAGGTTGAGAGATTATTTTATCACCAATATTGCTAATACAGATTTTCTCTGCTGTAAATAGCCTTTGTATTAGTTTGTTTTCACACTGCTATAAAGAATACGTGAAACTGGGTAATTTATAAAGAAAAGAGGCTTAATTGACTCACAGTTCCACATGGCTGGGAAGGCCTCAGGAAACTTACAATAACAGCAGAAGGGGAAGCAAGACAGCAGGAGAGAGAGTGAGGCAGGGGAAATTGCCAGAAACTTATCAAACAACCAGATCCTGTGAGAAATCACTCACCATCATGAGAACGGCATGGGGAAACTGTCCCCACGATCCAATCACCTCCCACCAGGACCACCCCTACCCTGCCCTTGACATGTAGGGATTACAATTTGGATTACAGCTGGAGATGAGATTTGGGTGGGGAAACAGCCAAACCATATCAGCCCTGTTTTTATATTGGTTCTCTTGTCCGGGTTGGAATTCTGACTAGGACCCTGTGTGGGGTAAAACACTGTGGGATGGAGATGGGGCAGGTTAACTAGCCTGGTTTTCTCTGGGGTGAGTGGCAGGAGATATCTATCAGCTGGGATTAAAACCAAGCACATTGCTTCCAGAATTTCTTACTGCTTGACTTGAATGAAAATGTTATTACTGATGATAATTTGGGGGAATAATCTCATGCCTAACTTGTATTGGAATAATAGTAAGATGTGTAATAAACATATGTGAGTCTTGAGAATTCCGCTCTCATTTTGACTCAACAGTAAGTTACTTGATAAAGTTTGTCCTACAGTCTCACTTCTTCTCAGCAGAATTCTTACTGTGTGATCAGATACTAAATTCCTTTCAGTTTATTCCCAGTAAATCTGATGGAATGTCTAGATTCTGCAGACTTTGATCCAAAGACTGAACTAAATCCAATGAACTCAAGAGAACAACTTTTAAGTAGTTATTAAGCCGATATTCTGTGTTCAGACCTGTGCCTGGGACTGAAAGAACATAAATAAATGTAACTGAGGAATTGTTCTTTCTCTTTGATCTAGATGATAACTTACCTAGGGGACGAATGGGAGTGGGCAGATCTGAAGAATGGAAGAATCTGTTGTAATAGTCTAAATGTGAGGCAATGAATTATAAGGTTTCCATAATACAGATGCAAAGAGACAGAAAGATAAACTACCATAAGAATTAAAGGAGCTTGATAAGTTCCTCTGCAAAGCCTAAATTAAAATGAGACATAAATGGTCAATGATTGACACAAGATAGTACAGCAGATAAAAATATGGATTTCGGTGTCTATGAGAACTGAATTAAAGTCCCAGATCTGACATTGGAATTCAACAGTTACATGATTCTTCTCAGTTTCAGTTTTCTTTTGTGTAAAATAGAACAAACAGTACTTCCTTCAGAAATGTATTATAAAGTTAGTGTTTTTAAAACTACAGGTTATGCCTTTTTCTTGAGAAATTAACTTTACAGTTTAATGAGGAACAGATAGCATTTTAATAAGAAAGATCTGGAAAAGAAAAGTAGAATGCATCACTCATGGTAAAAATAAGTATTTTTGTAACACTTTATTCTAGTGATTGTATATATGTGTGTGAGTGTGTGTGTGTAAGAGAATCATTGGATTAAAAATTAAAATATAAATAATAGGTATTTATGAGAAACCCACAGCCAATATCATACTGAATGGGTAAAAGCTGGAAGCATTCCTTTTGAAAATCATCACAAGACAAGGATGCCCTCTCTTACCACTTCTATTCAACATAGTATTGGAAGTTCTGGCCAGGGCAATCAGGCAAGAGAAAAAAAATGGTATTCAAACAGGAAGAGAGGAAATCAAATTGTCTCTGTTTGCAGATGACATGATTGTACATTTAGAAAACCCCATTATCTCAGCCGCAAAACTCCTTAAGCTGATGAGCAACTTCAGCAAAGTCTCAGGACGCAAATCAATGTGCAAAAATCACAAGCATTCTTATACACCAATGATAGAGAGCCAAATCATGTGTCAGAAGTGGGAACACTGATGTTTAGAAAGATTAAGTAGCTTGTTGAAGTTTACTTAACTGATGGATCCTAGATTCAAACCTAGGCATTCTGATTCAGAAACTCCTAAGTTTTTACTACAAGGCTTTATTTTTTTGGAGAGGTCTGTACTTCTGAGAATTTGATCTTAGTATTTGTTTAAATGCCTTTATCTTAACTGCTTTGAGACTGTGATCTGTCTATTCATCTATGTCCCTATATCAGATAGATATAGAAAATAAAAATGCAATCATTTATTAGTATAATCATATATTATTTTGCCTTTATGTTTTACTAAATTAAAACTCTGAAAAAAAACTATTTCTTTGTAAATCAAAATAGTGTCAATTTTTTTTTAAAGGATCAGCAGTTCAAACAGACTTCTTTTTAAAGAGGAAGATTACATTGAGGGTTCTTTACTTTTTTGGAAGTAAAAGGAATGCATATTTAAATTTTGATTTTTACTTTTGTAGAACAAGCGTCATAGAAAGTGACTTTGATTTATACAGAGAAATAGTAGGCATCTATAGGATGAATTATATATAATCAATCAACTATTAAACTAAATTAATGTGTATTTATTTATTATAGGTATAAATGAAGAAAGCAATTATTCTAATTTTGAAACACGTCATGCAAGCCATGCATAATACAATAAGCATTCTGCAGTGCACATTTTTTCCAGGAAATTTAATTTTTAAAAAAGCAACATAGATATGCTTCTGGTGTGAGAAATGTTACTACTGATAACATTTTACCATTTTCTCAAAATTAAAAAAAAACTATATTGATGAAGGATTGGCTTGTAATTAAGTCTATTTATTTGTGCAAATGTTGGAAACAGACATATTTTAACTTCTGAAATACCTAGATAACTTTGTTCTTCAACTTTTGGTTATACAAATGAAGTACAATTGTTCAAAGTAAATTTCTTGGATTTATATTGAAATTTCTGTTCAACAGTATGCTTTAGGTCTGAACAGAAAATCACTATTTGCTTAGCATTAGCTTCTCTGTCCATCAATGTGGTAAGTACCATAAGGTAAAGAAGAGCAATATATTGCATGATCTCTAGTCATCCAGCATTGATCATTGATTTGGAATTTTGAAAAATCAATAGGAAAAGCTAGACGTATTATAAAACTGCATATTTTTAAAATGTAAACACTCATGTGTTATTTACATGAATGCTAGCAATTCAGAGAATTATCAGTGTGGGCTAGAAATTCTAGAAAATATTAGGCTTCAAAGATGAGGTGATGAGACATTGTTGACTGGTTTTTCTACCTAAGCAGACTTCTACAGTAAGAGAAGTTGCTTCATATGATTTTCTAAGGTCTTTTTTTTTCATAGAATCTTAAATTTTAAAGGAAGCTGAAAAGATATCTTGATCAAGCCTCTTTTAAGCTCCTCTACAATTTATCTACTAAGTCAATGCCTAATTTTGAAGATGTCTATTGTGTCTTAGGGGAAGTTCTAATTCTCACAATGTTCTTTCTTTTTTGGTTGGAATTATTTTACTGTAATTTCTGTCTAGCTATTTAAAAGTCTGTGATTCTGGAGGCCATGGAAGTTAAGTTGCCCACTTTTCTAAGTTCTATTCATCTGTTTCTCACGTTGTGATATTTCAGATCTCAATTTTCTGAACTGTCTCTTTGAATATATTAACAATTAGTATTAATTGAATGCTTCTCTTTTACTAACATTTGTTCTCATTAAATCCTCCTAACAATCCTGAAAATTTATTATTATTATTATTATTGTTATTATTATTCTCAATGTTCAGCTGAGAGAGTAGGAGCAGTGAGAGATAAGTTGCTGAGGGCCATGGCTAGTAAGTAGATTTCCACTTTGAACCCAGGTATCAGGTACCAAAATTAACATTCTTAACCACTAAGTTATGCTGGCCCCCATTTGGCAACACTTCTCTGTATCCCTTTTAAAACTTACACCAAACTAAATGTTCTTGGAGTATGTGATCTGATTTTGGCAGAGTGAAAGTCTCACTTTCTTCACTACAAACATTGCAATCGGTATTATTTAGGACCCCAATTTTTTGTTCTATGATTATCTGTGCCCTTGGCTTAAACTGGTTTTCATTCTTGTTGTATATTTTAGCGGTTCTCTTCATTTTTTATAAATAAATCTGTTGCATGCCACCCTAAAAAGATGACATTTCATGTACACTAAACTAGATGTTTCTTTTTAGTGTTAAAATACATCTTTAAAATACCTTAATTTTCTTCTCCAAGATGTTAGTATAGCACAGAAATTAAAAGATACATCACTTAATACCCGTATGAGCTTGGCAGATAATTTATCCTTGCTTTTTGTTAGCAATTAAATGGGATTCATAAAATCACTTATATCATAGTGTTGTCTTGGGTTTAAAGTAATGCAGCAAAGTAGGCAGAATATAGACATACTCAATAAATGTTAGTAAGAACAAATTATACTAGTACCAATACTTACAGCTTTGTAAGAATGACACTCCACATTTAACTTTGAAAAATCAGGTTTTTTGATAATGACACAACACTTTTGAAAAGCCCAGATTTTCTTATCAGCAAAGTAATTTGATGAACATAGTGAAAACTACTTAGCAGCTCAAAGGAATATTCCTTGATATGGCAACAATTATAATATTCTAAGATCTCTAAAATTCTATTGATTTTTAGCAATAAAGGTTTATCTTTGCAAAACAAGCCTTCTTCCTGAGGAATTTTTTGTTTTGATTTTTAATATACCTTTTTAGGAGGTTGCTATTGGTGTGCTGCGTTAAAGATATTCAATTCCTAAGATACCTGGTTAAAACAAAACAAAACAAAACCATTTCCTCTTTCCAAACATGTATAGAACTGGGTATCTCTTTCCTCATTTTCTTTTGAAAAACTCAGGAGATGCATACTGCTATTCTCACTTACTGATAAAAAGGATATTGGAGGGAAAATAAATTAAGAATGTCGCAGAGCCTCTGCTTAAGAGCCTAACCCAGCTCCTTTCGAAGAAATGTGGAGGGAGTGCATTGTAAATGAGATTTGGCACCTTAGCTTCTGCAATCTTACCATAGTCAACACTCCCACTGGCTTTAGCTTGGAGAGTGCTGTGTGGGTGGTGATTGTATTTTATGTCTTTATTTAAGTGAGTGAGAGAGACTATAATGTGATAATTCTGGAAATGATAGAGGGGAAGATCCTCCTCAAATGTTTGGATGGCAATGACAGCACATTAATAGTGTAAATATTTTTTTGTGCTAGCTCTGCTGCACTTCTCAGATCTTTTTATTATATGAATGATACCTGAATTATTCTTTTAAGCAGAGCTCTTTGCCATTTGGTACTACCTGTTAGCAAGAGTTAATCATAGAGCATGATTTATCTTCTACTTGAATCATTTTTTTTTTAGGAAATCTAAATGGAGTATTTTTATGTGCATGTTTTTAAAAACATTTATTCTTTATGCCAGGGGAACACAGTGGGCAAGCTTTTCAACAGTGACATTAATGAACCCCCAGCAGTGTCATAGGCAGATAGTTTAACAGGGAACATCACAGGAGTTTAGACTCAAGACATTAACCAGGGTGAGACAGATATTGTGGGGGTTGGCTTATTGTGCTGACTGGAAAATAACCTCCATCTATTACGGCCTCGGGCCTCAGGAGGAGGACATTAAGGATATACTGTTAGGGGATAGAGATATTTATGCAATATAGTGAAGTGTTAAGGACTGCTGATACCCAAGTATCTTCTCTTTTAGAAGCCACTTTGGTGGAAGTCTTCCTTCACCCACACTGATGTGGCAGAGGGAAAAGCTTGGTCATCTTGCTACTGGTGGGAGGCACTTGCTCTTCTTAGAAAGTCAAATTGCATTTTGAATGGAAGGCCCACAAGCTGTATTTTAAACAATCCTATTCTAGTACTGAGGGAGAAAATTTTTACTTTCCTCTACATTCTTTTCAGTTTCCCATTTCTTGCCTGTACATTTGCAGTGACTTTGTAATTTATTGTCCAAACCAGATACTTTTGAGAATGAATGGGGATGCTATTGATAATTCAGCAGTGGCTATAGAAAAACTAGGTCATATAGGTATTCTACCTATTCCTAGGCAGTGGGGAAAGTTTTAAGAGAGGCTAATGCACTGTTTGAGCTAGAGCCACAAAAGGAGTCCTTACCTTGAATAGGGGCTCTGCGTATGTATTTGAGAAACAGAACCTTCAAATAATACACACTGTAGGTTTGCCTAGCTTTGTCTCACTTTAGAGATTGTAATTAGATGTCCACTACCATGGTCATTGGAAGGCTGAGGATTTGGGTGTTCATGACAGTGGGTAAAATCTTTTATAAACTCTCTATCACTGATAGAGATGACCTGTTCTAATACTTCCTAGATGCCTAGTTTCTAATGAGTCTGGCATACTCGTTATCAGTTTGGTGCCCATTATTTCTATCACAAAATTCTACTTCTCCTTCCATAGGATAGGGGTTTTTAACATGGCTCCATAATCCCTAGGACTCATTGAATGCATTCAGGGATTCATTAATTCCTGAAATACATACACACATATATCTGCATATTTATGTATATGTTTAATTTTGAGACACATATGTATATTTTTGTATAAAACAAGTTTCTCAACTTTCATTAGATACCCTAAAGTTTGTGTGGTCAAAAATGTTTCAAAAAATATGGAATTGAAGTTTTTAAAGCTAGATTTTAACCTAAAAGCTATAATATCTAATATCACATTGACACATTTTATATAGCCTGCTTCAGTTTTATTTAGAGTTAGAAACACTGCATTGTGGGAAAAATAAAAGCCACTGGGGCATTTTTTTCCTTCCATGAAGGCTACTGGAAAGAGAACTTGACAAATATAATGAACAACTTAACAATTGCATTATCATTTTAGAGGATAATAATTATACTATTCATAATAATTCCCTAGTTTTAGATAATGTTGAATATGTGACAGGGACTATTCTTAGCACTTTACACACACACACACACACACACTTTTTTTGTTTGTTTTTAATATGCACAGTACTATAAGTTCTTCTATCATTTCTATTTTACAGATGGGGAATTGAAGCATGAAAGATTAAATCAAGTAACTGTCCAAAGTCACACAGCTAATAACTGAAAAAACTAAGATTGAGCCCATGAAGTTTGACCCCTGAATTTAACTTCTACCCTTTTCTTGAATTATTGAATTATTTATTCATCATTTAGAAAGTACCCTTGCTTATGAATGAAAAATATTTATGTCATGTAAAAATCTAGGATATATTTTTCTATTTATCCATGTAAGTTGGTGAGTATATATACATATATGTTTGCCTGTTTTGAATAAGAAGTTCAATTTTGATTCAGGGTACATAGAGTTCAAGGTTTTGAAGGTGAAATCTAACTAGCTCCCAGAAAATAGAGTAAGAAGAAAATGGCTTCTTTATGGTGCTGCCTGATAAATTTCCTAAAATGTTTGACCTTGTTAAGATACATAATAATATGATAACTTTATAATATAATGTAATCATTTTATAATAAATCTAATAATAAAATTATATTTATGTGATACTTTACTTGCCAGAATTCTTCCATGTAACCTGAAAATAACAATGAAGAAGACTAGGATTTAAACTGGAGCAGATAAAAATGCTATGGAAGAGATATTCTTATCAGTATTTTATTGCCAGTGTGTCTTTATAAAAGGATTAAGTCAAAACATAGCAAAGAAAGCAATGGGGAAAAGACATTATTCATCATATAGAAAAATCAATTAAGTCCACAGATTTCCAAAACCCATACCTTTTAGAATTTTGCTATGAATTTTCTCTAAATATTAGATTACCCATCAAGTTATTATTCAAATGTGAGGGATGAAATTGATAATGGAATTCCAAAGTAAATACATAAACGAACCCAAGTAAGCATGCAATTTGTGAATTACCATAGTTTTGCTATCCCAAACATTTTGGTATTTTGACTTTAAATATAGTGAAACAAATGCCCTGGGTTATAAAACTGAAGAAACAGGATTGATTCCTAGAAGTTCACTAATCTTAGACAAATCAGTTTTCTATAGAGCTTCCTGATTTGTGCAATAAAGAAAAATAATTGTATCTCCCAGACCTATTAGAAGAGAAATATTAGCTATTGTACATAAAATTGACACTATACACACACATATATATACACATATATTTTTATTGTTGTCTATGTAATGTTCTCCATTTACAAAACTTTTCTATTTTTAATTTTTATGAATAGACAGTAGGCGTATATGTTTATGGGATACATGAGATATTTTGATATAGGCATACAATGTGTAATGATCACATTTGCATAAATGAGATATTCATAATCTCAAATATTTATCTTTTCTTTGTGTTACATACAAATTGTACTGTTTTCATTATTTTTTAATGTACATTATTGTTGACTCTAGTCATCTAATTATATTTTTATAACCAATACTCATCCCCACTTCTCCCCATCTCATTCGCAGCCTCTGGTAATCGTCATTCTACTCTCTATCTTCACGAGTTCAGTTTTCATTTTTAGCTCCCACAAATAAGTGAGAACGTGTGAAGTTTGTCTTTCTATGCCTTGCTTATTTCACTTAACACAATGACCTCAGCTCCACCCACGTCGTTGAAAATGAGAGGATCTCCTTCTTTTTGTGGCTGAATAGTACACCGTTGTTATATGTAGCACATTTTCTTTATCCATTTATCTGTTGATGGGCACTTAGGTTGCTTCAAAATCTTGGCTATTGTGAATAGTGCTACAATAAACATGCAAGTGCAGGTATCTCTTCAATATACTGATTTCTTTTCTTTTGAGTATATGTCTAGCAATAGGATTGCTGGGTCATATGGTAGTTCTGTTTTTAGTCTTTTGAGGAACCTCCAAAGTTTTCTCCATAAGGGTTATGCTAACTTACATTCCCACCAACAGTGTGTATGAGGGTTCCCTTTTCTCCACGTTCTCACCAGTATCGGTTGTTGCCTGTGTTTTCAATAAAAGCCATTTTAACTGTGGTGAGATAATATCACATTGTAGTTTTACTTCGCATTTATCTGATGATGTGATGTTGAGCACCTTTTCATATACCTGTTTGCTATTTGTATGTCTTTTGAGAAATGTCAGTTTAGATATTGTGCCCATTTTTTAAATCTGATTATTAGATTTTTTTCTTACAGAACTATTTGAGTTATTTATATATTTTGGTTATTAATCTCTTGTCATATGGATAGTTTGCAAATATTTTCCCCCATTCTTTGGGTTAGATCTTTACTTTGTTGATTGTATCCTTTGCTGTGCAGAAGCTCTTTAATTTGATGTAATTCCATTTGTCTATTTTTGCTTTGATTGTTTTTGCTTGTGGGATATTACTCAAGAAATCTTTGCCCAGTCCAATGTCCTGGAGAGTTTCTCCAGTGTTTTCTTTTAAAGGTTTCATAGTTTCAGGTCTTAGATGAAGTCTTCAATCAATTTTGATTTTTTTAATTTAGGAAGAGATAGAGATCTAGTTTCATTCTTCTGGTATGTTGTATTTCCATTATCATGCATTTCAAAAAGTTTGAAAATTTCCTCAAAAATTTCATCATTGACTCACTGGTTATCAGGAATATATAGTAAAATTTCTGTGTATTTGTATAGTTTCCAAAATTCCTCTTATTGATTTCTAGTTGTATTCCATTGTGGTCAGGAAAGGTGCTTGATATTATTTCAAGTTTTTGAATGTTTTGAGACTTTTTTGTTACCTAACATATGATCCTTGAGAATGACCCATGTGCTGAGGAGAAGAATCTGTGTTCTGCAGCCATTGGATAAAATGTTCTGTAAATATTTATTAGGTCCATTTGGCCTATAGTGCAGATTAAGTCTGATGTTTATTTCTTGATTTTCTGTCTGAAAGATCGGTCCAATGCTAAAAGTGGAATGTTGAAATCTCCAACTATTGTTGTATTTAAGTCTCTCTCTCTCTCTTTAGCCCTAATAATATTTGCTTTACATTTTTGTGTGCTGCAGTTTTGGGTATATATATATTTACAATTGTTATATCATCTTGCTGAATTGACCCCTTTATCACAATATGATTTGATTTTTTTTTGGTCTCTTCTTATGGTTTTTGTCTTGAAATCTATTTTGTCTGATATTAAGTATAGCTTCTCCTCTTCCTTTTTGGTTTCCATTGGCATGGAATATGTTTTTCCATCTGTTTATTTTCAGTCTATGTGTATCTTCATAGGTGAAGTGTGTTTCTTGTAACCAGCAGATCGTTGGGTCTTTTTGTTTCTGCATTCAACCACTGTATGTCTTTTGATTGGATGGTTTATTTCATTGACATTCTATGTAATTGCTGATAAGTATGGCCTTTCTGGTACCATTTTCTTATTTGCTTTCTGATTGTTTTGTGGTCTTCTCTTTCTTCTTTCCTTCCATCCTGTCTTCCTTTTGGTGAAGGTGATTTTCTCTGGGGGTATGTTTTAATTTCTTCTTTTTCTATTTTTTATGTATCTGTTGTATGTTTTCTGATTTGTGGTTACAGTGAGGCTTGCAACTAATATAACCCACCTCAGGCCCACAGTGAGGTACTGCATAGCTACTGCCTATGTTCATTCAAGGTCCAAGGGCTCCTCAGTCAGCTTGTAGTGAATGCTTCCTGGCCTGGGACTTTTACTTCAGGATAATGCATTCCCCTCTGGCCCAGGGAGTGTCAAGAAATGTCATCTGAGAGCCAGTGCCTGGAATCAGGGAACCTTGCTTGGTGCTCTACCCCACTGTGGCTGAATTGGTATGTAATCTGCAAGACAAAGTCCCATTCACTCTTCCCTTTCCTTTTCTCATGCAGAAGGAGTCCCTCTCCATAACAACCACAGATGGGAATTTGCTGGGTCACACCTAAAGCCAGAACATCTCTCCATCTCACCCAAGGCCCATGGCGAGTACTGCCTGGGTACCACTGCTGGTTATTCAAGGGCCAATGGCTCTTTAGTCAGAAGATGATTAATCTTGCCAGGACTGGGTCCTTTTCTTCAAGGCAGCAAGTTTCTTGCTTGCCCAGGGTGTGTCTAGAAATGTCATTCGACAGTTAGTGCCTAGAATCAGGGCCTCAGGCCTCTGCCCAGGGCCCTATCCTACTGTGGCTGAGCTGGCATCCCAGAGGCAGGACAAAGTCCTCTTTATTCATCCCTCTCCTCTCTTCAAGCAGAAGGAAGAGGTCTCTCCCAGAACTGTGAGCTGTGTTGCCTGGGCTTGGTAGAGAGGTGGTGCAAGCACTCTCTTGGCTGCTCTGGCTAGTGTCTCACTGGGGTGTGTGCCCCCCATGTCACTGGCTGTGAGCCCTGTACAGCACCAGGACTTGCAAGGAATTTCAGTCCTTTAAACCTAGACTGCCTTTCAAGTTTATTTACAATCCCAGAGCACTTTAGCCCAAAATGGCAAGGCTTGCTGGGGCTTAGGTTTTGACTGCTGGAATGGGCAATTCCTTTTTCGCTAGGACTGGGTCTAAATGCTCCCTCTGTGGGCTCTGGCTGAGTTCTTCCTGGTGTTGCTTTTCGTTGTAACAGGGCAACACTGAGTTCTCTTCTCCCTAACCTCCTTATGTATCTGTGAGTTCCAACCCTAAAAAGAAAAATAAAATAGAACATTGTGCCATATTCTAGGTAAACTAGAGTGGTATTGGGGATAGGAGTGTTTATTACTCATCTTTATGCAGGGAATCCCTTTCACATATCACTCACTCAGTATTCACTGGATGAAGCTGAATTGCATTAATTAGTTTAAGCTAGGAATGTGTTGTCCTTCTAGGCTCTTCCAATTTTCCTCAAGTATCAAGGCATTACAGATGACAATAAAGGATAATCTCTAAATTTGTTTAACTATAACTTGGACTGTCATTTTGTAACTATCATTTATATTTAGTCTTATCTAGGTAATTAGTTATTATGGCAACTAGTATATTGATTCCCATGCCAAAGGAATTAGCTTTTAAATCTTAACTATTTTATTATATTGTAGACTGGCACATTTTTGTTTGGGGTCTTTATGCATCTCTGTGGCTAAAAATTCTGAAAGAAAAAAAACCCATGCCTCTTATTTTACTTTATTTTATTTTATTTATTTTTTTTTTTTTTTGAGACATGGTCTTTCTGTGTTGCTCAGGCTGGTCTCAAAAGTCTGGCCTCAAGTAATGCTCCCACCTCAGCCCCTAAGTGCTGGGTTTACAGGCATGATCCAGCATGCTCAGACCCAGCTCTCCTGAATTGTTTTATTTCACTTTTTAGTTCTTCAATTTTTCACTTAAATATATGGGGTGAAAAATACTATTGAATAATTAGATCTCTCTTATATGGAATCCAAATTCTTCTCCTCCATAATATTTACATATTTTCAATATGTTAATAAATACAATGTCCTATATAACTATGATCTTTAAGATATAAAGTTTTTTTTACCTTTATATTTTTTGTTTGCCAACTTCCAATTTTGTTTGCCAACTTCCAATTTTTTATTCATTGGATTTTTAAATTTTATGTAAAAAGTAGTATTTCTCTATAGTAATTATGGACTAAGATCTTATGGTTTATTCACATTTGTTGATATTTTATGCTGTAAGCCAGTTGGCAGTAGGGATTGAGGTCATGTGATATTTTCCCCATTAAAGATGCCTTATATTCCTATAGTTTGTATGTATATATGTCTGCTTATATACATAGATATAGTATATACAGAGCATTTTTATGTACATGAAGTCATTTATGCTATAAGTTGTATATATTAATGGATTTTCTTAAACTTCCAAGCTGCGAGTTTATTTTTTCCCCAGTTTTGGAGATAGACCAAATACTTTTTCACATAATTTTTATCTCAGTTTTTCTGCAGGGAACTTTTTTATATTAGCCAGTGTTTACAGCTGGTATTATAAGATGAGAAAGTTGGGGGAAAGGAGAAGGAAAAAGGACTGTATTTATTTAAGAAACAATTTCAGTATAGTACTGTTTTTCTGAAACATGAAATAAATATTTTATCCTCCACTGTCATTTTAGTGAAGCATGAAAGCTGAGGAAATACTGAGAAGTAATGGATGCTTACATTTTTTTTTCTTTGCAAGGGGTCAAAGCTCTTTCCTTTATATACCTGTGAAGTACAGAGGAACAGGTACTATTTCTCTTTTTGAGTTAAGGAAACTTAGGGAAGTGACCTATTTTACTTCAGGAACTCAAGGAAGTTGTAAATGTTGATCCTAAGCCCTTAAGACCCTAGGCTATACATTAGTCAGCTGCACAGAGATTGTGGCAGAATCAGCTACTTAATTTGCAGGGCCCACTGCAAAATGAAATGTGGGATTCCTTGATCAAAAAATTATTAAGCGTTTGGAGATGATGACAACAGAGCAGTGAACCAATAGCAGGGTCTTTCTAAAGAGCAAGGTCCGGTGCACCTGCACAGATTACAAACACATGATGTTATTCCTATCTTGTAAGCTTGGACCACCCCACCAGGAAGAGCTAGACACAATTCCTGCTGTGGTTAAGCTGCAGATGGCAGTACTCTTAGCTATCAAAGGCAAGAGCCAGGAAAGAATGCAGAGGCAAGAACTCTGTTAGGCCAGAGAAACAAAGTGGGGGTGGGAGTACAAGCTTTGGTAGGGTGGGTACCCAGATACTTAGGATTTCCTGAGGCACACTGGATCTGTAGTTTAGGACAGCACTCCACTTCTAAATGCACCTAACAAGTAGACTTGACTTTCTTGATAACTGTCTGTTACTTAATGTTACTGTTTGTTACTTAATAACTGTCATGTTACTACATGCCATTTGCTAAAATATAGACCTCCTTTTTGAAGATTGAAAATGAGCTCAAATATCTGTTAAAACCAGATGACTCCCCAGTCACGTGTTTCAACAACAATCACAACAAAAGTTGTTTATACACTTCTGGTCACTAAGTTAATCAATGAATATTTATTGAGCACTTATTATAAGTCATAAGCACTATTTTAGGCAGTAGAAAAATAGCAGTGGAGCAGGATAAACCCTTGACTTTAAGAAGTGCACATTCTAGTGGAGTCTACAGAAGTTAGAGAACTGCAATAAATTTTAAAATATACAATTTGGTTTTATTTTTTGAATTAAACTCTTTTTCTTTGTACTTGAAGAAAAATAAAAATAACTGTCAGAATCAAGATATATTTTTACCATAAAGAAAAAAAATCATGTTATAAAATATTAGGAAAAAAAGTAGGTTCCTAAGGGATAAGAATTTTTTTCTCCTCCTTCAGAATAGATTAAAATACCACAAATATAAAGGTCACATAAGTGACACTGCATTTGTGGGATATTTTTAACATGAAATTAAAGTAGGGATGATTCTGGCATTGTCCTTTTGTCAGATGTGGTATTTTGTAATATTTATCTTTTGCCATAAAATCATGTTTTGATTGCCATAAAATCACGTTATTACTTAGTAGGATTCATTTAATGTATTGTATTATTTTATAAGACTTTGTCACAGCCGGGTATTAAAAACAAAGAAACAAACAGAAAGCAAAACAAACAAACAAAAAAACCCAGATAGGATAACTATAATGTCTCTTGAGGGAAACAAGGGAAAAAAAAAGAAACCTACAACTTTGAAACATGGTTGAATGTTTGATAGCACATGTTAAGATCCTTTTGAATGCAGAAACAATTTTGAAACTCCATAAAATCCTTTATTTCTCATGACAGGAGAACACTAGACATTCCACAGATACTTCAAAATTTCTCCTTGGAACATCATACAATGAAACTTAAAAAATTAATAATAAACACTTATATTTCCACATAGTCTGTGCACCTCCTTCCCTCATCCCTCACCATGTCATTATAACTTGGCAAGACTCTCTGTTTACCATTCACTAATGTCTTTTTCCCTTCTTGTTTTTTGCTTTAAAATTATTTAGCATTTATTTATGAAATCTACAACAATACATACAAGAATGCTGTCTTTTTTATTCCTACATGATTTGCTATATTAAAACAAATTATGTGTTTATTATATTGTTGGGAGATACTTAAGTACTCCCAATCTAAGGCCACTGATTTTTACCATACAAGCTTTTTTTTTTTTTTTTTTTTTTTAAACCAGTAGGTGGCCTTTCAATACTGAGTTAAAAACCTGCCTTCCGGTGAACTTTCAGTACCTTCACCACCTGATTACAGCCAAATGACCTGGGATGTCATACTTGAGTTTTTTTTGATGAATGATTTTATCATTGTCTGTCTTTAGATCTTATCCGTATTTCTTTGGTGGCAACAGTTACAACTAAGACAAAGTAATCTGAGCTCTCTATTCTGTTTGTTTTTTGTGTTTTTATGCATATACCATATTGTTTTTATTACTATAGTCTTGAAATAAAGCTTGAAATCTGAAAGTAAAAAAAGAAAACAAAGTAAGGACAGTTTTAATGGGGTTTTAGGACAGAGATGGCCTATGCTATTTATCTTGAGTGTAGCTGAACATAATACAAAGCTCTCAAAATTAAAAGGAATTTTAGAATAATACGTGCCACTTTATGTGCCAAGAACAGCAAAACTGTTTGATTGGGCTGGCCTGAAGAACTTTACTGTATAGTAACAACATTCACTACTCTAAGGACCTAGAGCATGGTACAGTTATGTCCACTTGAATGTTATGACAGGAGAAGGGATTAACGACATTTATTTGCCTGGTGTTAGGACCCTAAATTATAAGCAGCCCCATTCCAACACACACACACACACACACACACACACACACACAATCTGATTTTTGTTTATTTTGAACCCCTTTTACAATGTCTACCTCTTTAACCATCTGATTTGCTTTGCATGACATAGGGGCATGGAGTGAGCTAGGTAGGTTTCTGAACCCTGTGCTTTGACTATACTTAGTTAATCTTTTACCTGAATGAAAGCCTTAGGTTTCTCATCTGTGTAATAGAAATAAAAATACTTACCTTGTATGATTATTTTGTTTTGAAGTTTAAATGAGAAATAGATGTTCTAAAAATTACTGATGTGATACTTTCTTAGCAAGTATTAATCTTCCCCCTTCCTTACCTTTCTCAGAGTTATGTTGTGAGGATTCAGTGAACTAATGTGATATATCATGAGAGGTGAAGAGCATAGAATTTGAATCAGATCTGAATTCAAATCTTGGCCCTGCTACTTATCAACTGTGTGACACTGGGGTATTATTTCATCTTTTAAAATACTTTTATTTTTAAATTTTAAAATGGGAATAATGATCCTAGTTCATGCAGTTTTTGTGAGGATAACGTAAAATGCATATAAATTTCTCTGGGCTAGACCTGGTGTTTTCCATACATTACTAAGCTATTATTAAAACACTACTCCAGTTAGTATCTGTAGTCTGACTTATGTTCAGCTTCTTTGAAGATATCTTCCAAACTAGATCATGAGTTTCTGGAGTGTTAGGAGCCGGATTTGACTCTACTGAATTCTGAAGAACCATTGAAGTAGTGCTAAGTGCATTATGCTCATGTCTGTTCAACTTTTGGCCAGTAGAATAAATGCTCGGGGTTTTTTACCTACTTAGCTATCAGTCACTATCCTTCCGATGGCCAATAGGAGCAAAAGGTTTGGGTAAATTATTAATGTAAAGAAAGCTGAATCAAATTCACAGGTTGTCTAAGTATAATATCCCAGCAATTGTATTGTGTGACTGGAAACTTATAAATGATTAGTGACAAAAATGTGGCTCAATTTTGTATAATATTTATCAATTTATCTCATACATAGGCTGTATCTACTGTATTACTTTAAAAAAAAAGTATGTTTGTGTGTGGTCTACTACGATGTCATGTAATGCATGCCCCTGACGTGTACTGAATGCTCCCTAATGACTTCATGATGACTAGTTTTAAGGAAGAAAATAAAATTTAAAAAAGGAAGTGAGCATAAGCAAAGAGGGAAGAAAGGAAAGTGATCAGGACGAGGAGATGGCGAATACAACCAGAGACTGGCCTGGTCATTGCTTTCCCAACCTTCATATATGGATCTCTTAGTATCATTATACAGTTTTTGTTTAAAAATATTATTTTTGTAAAAGCATCATAGCCGTTATTTATTTATTTTTGAGATGGAGTTTTGCTCTTATTGTCCAGGCTGGAGTGCAATGGTGCGATCTCAGGCTCACCGCAACCTCCGCCTCCCGGGTTCAAGCAATTCTCCTGCCTCAGCCTCCCAAGTAGCTGGGATTACAGGCATGCAGCACCACACCTGGCTAATTTTGTATGTTTTTTAGTAGAGACGGGGCTTCTCCATGTTGGTCAGGCTGGTCTCGAACTCCTGACCTCAGGCAATTAAACTACTAAAATTAAGTATTTGGGAGCATGAAAGTTTAAAAAGCATGTACTGTAAGCCCACCAAAAACAGATAATCTTGGAAATAAATTTTTCCTTAGCATTCTTTAAAATAATAAAATATACTGCAAAATTTTCAAGCATTTCCAAATCTTACTTTGTCATGCAATACTTGCTTATGCAGCAGTGACCTTGTTGATGCTGTGTACAATCTGTCATTTTATGCATTATCCCTACGAGATAGATGTTAACCACTTCTTGACAAGAAAGGCAGGACACAGAAAGTTGAATGGTTTGTCTTGGTTTCTCACAAAATAAGAAATAATCAGAATGAGATTTTTATGGTGTGGGCTCTCCTACCTGATTTATTATTTTGAACTTTTTATGTGGTTCTGTCTATGGAGAAATTGAAAAGTAAACAGATTTAGGGACTGATTGCTGTATATACATTGTTTTCAGACCATAGGAGAGACAAGCTTCCAGTTCCAGTTATTTCTGTTTAACATTTCTCTGCAAATCCGCAAGGCTTGTTTTATCCAGGCTTGGCCAAGTTAAATATGTTCCCTGTATTTTTCCCTTATGTTTGGAGATCTAGCAAAATATTCCTCATTATACTGTTTATTGAAGTGAAAACTTGTATGTGATTGTATGAATGCCTAATAGTCTTGAAGTAAAGGCCGTCAAATTCAACAATGCCTGGAGAGATTGCATGTATTCTTTTCTACTGCATATTTATAGCATTTGTTTGGAGTGCCAAAATTTTTGTTTTAGTCCTATAGATAAGAATTTCTTAACATTTTTTAAGATTTTTCAATTTCTCCTAAACATAATACATAAGGAACACTTTTTAGATAAATGTTGTGTAAAGTTAGCAAAAAAAAAAACAAAAACAAAGACATTATTTTCTTTTACCGTGTCCCCTGATCTCAAATCTTTTCATTTCTCTGTTTGTTTTTTTTTTAATTTAATTTTAGAGGGCTGCTGAAGTATCAAACTAATTTAGATACCAACCCTCCCGGCTGTATCAGTCTTAACTGAACCAGCTCTCAGAATATTTCCTTACCAGAGTATATCTCAGAACATTTTCATGAACCTTTCCCTGAAGGATTTTCAAAACTGGAAGAGTTTACCCAGAACACATTTGTGAAGATTTGTATGGAAGAGCCCAGATTCCAAGCTAATTTTCCACAGGTCAGATTAATTTTGTGTTTGATCTCCACAAAGTTTGTTTCCATTTGACTGATCAACATCACATATAAATGTGTTTTTCAAGCTATATATTCATGCATAATAGGATATTTCAGGATGTTTCAACAGTAAGTTAGTACCTATTATTCCATTACAGGTACTTGACAGTTGAATGCAAAAGATCTATGGTATTAGAGGATATATAACATTTCTACTTAACTGACCATATGAGCTTTGCATACAACAGCACTGGTGCTTGCAGCCAAGAGATGACAAATATTTTTCCCATCATTTGAGAAAAGCTGATTTAATAATAAAAATAGTAGTAAAAAAACTACCACCAATATCACAAATTATTATTTTATTGTATTATAATATTATGTATAATATTGTAAATAGTAAATAGCAAAATCAGTTGATTGAATGCTTAATATTATCTGCCAAGCATTGTGCTAAAATGTCCCGTATGCCTAATACAGAACACTTATTAGACATACAGAATGTTTCTTGCAATATTCGCAATGACTATTTGAGGTAATTAATATCACCCTCGATTTTCTGATAAAGAAATTGTACTTACCTTAATCAAAGTCTCCAAACCAGTAAGTGGCAGAGGAAGCATGTAAACACAGGTCTTTGACTAATATGCTTGCTCCTGGTAAACGTCCATAAGTATTCAGCAATTAGTTCAATAAGGGCCCTTATCTTCCTCTGTGCCTGTGAGAACTACCCCCATGCAAATTACACTGTTTATTCCTCATCTATAAAAAGTGGAAGTAGGAAATAGTGATGTCAAATGTCTCTATTGGAAGAGAAGAAAGAGAAGTCAAAAGCTAGAATGAATTTGTAGATGACTTTGGAATAGTGTATTAGTGATGTGTTTATTATTATTAATAATAATCCTCTAGATCCCTACTAGTCTCTATAATTTTCAGAACTTTTCTGAGTTTCACATAATATTCACAAATATTAGACAGGGCAGGTATGGTGACTCCCGTTTTGCTCATGTGGGACCTGACACTCAAAGAGTAAGTGATTATCTCAAAGGTGCAAGGCTGCTACATTGCAGACCTTGTCTTGCAATGCTACTCATAACACAGTGTGGGGCTAAATGTTATTATATGCAGAAGAGGCATGATCTGTCTGCATGAAAGAAAGAAGATTTGAAACAACTAGAGTGAGGCTTTAAAAAGTGACCATTAAGACAAGTTTTAGTTGGAGGCCTCAAAGGGATGTGAAAGATAAAGTGTGTAATTTTAAGAGAACAGTAAGCCACATAGGCTTCTGCACGTCCCAAAGTTTGCATGTGTCCTGGGATCAGGGCTAACCATGCAACACATATTCAAAATTGTCAGGTTTCCAAATTATAAATATTATTTTATGTTCTTATTATATTATATAAAAGTAAGTGGTAAACAACATGCCTAGCATAATGCATTTTTAAACATATGTGCTATACATATTTAACATATATACACATATGTATGTATATTATGCATATACATTATGTACATTAAAAATCTAGGGTTTTCTTATTTAATAAACATTAGACTGTTACTTTATTTCTAAAATTATCCCCATATTTATCGGAGATTGTTAACTTCCCTGTATTCTTTTATTAAATATGTTGTGTATATACATTACATATCTGTAGGCATAGAAAGGTGTATGAAAGAATATACACTTGTTTGTTCATGGATAGTTACACCCAGAGCATGAGAATGAGGGCAGGGTCTTGATATTACTTTGTGTTTTATTTTATACTTTTGTTTGTTTGAATGATAGTGAGCATCTATTGTTTTTTACTCATTTATTATATTTTCTTATTTAAAATACAAATTAAAATACTATTACTGTAATGTATGCAATGAGCAATTGGGCAGGGTGTAGATTTCTACAATACGAGTATTTCTTGAAGTATATTTTCAAAAATTTGTCTTAGACTTGGCTTTGGATTTCTGGACCTTTGTGCCTGTACTGTGCTGAAAGACTTTACAGGTATATGCGGAGCAATAAGCCAGTCACCATCATTTTGGTCATAAGTCATCCCTCAGATGTCATGGAAATCCGGATGGTCAAAGAAAATTTTAAAGCAAGACCTGGTCAGGTGAGTCAGTGGTCAGCAACTTTTTAAATAGCCTTTATCCTTATGTAATTTTTGGAATTTAGCAAACATAGCATCGTTGAAATAGTTGCAATTCTTAATTGGTCATTTAAAACTTATCCGTTTTTTGCTTTTTAGTATATTACTCTACATTGTCCCAGTATATCTGCATTAGAAAATCATCCATTTACCCTCACAATGGTAAGAAACATATCTCGTGCTTTTTCACATTTGTAGGGTGCTATGCATCTTTTTCTTTTTTTGTGTCCTATCTCATTCTAAAAGGTATTCAAGGCTATCATAGTATTCTTGATGTTTAAGTAAGCCATCTTTTTACAAGGAAAATAGTTATCTGCTCAAGAACTTTGTAACTACTCTTTATTATTTTTTGACACCTTACAATTCAGGAAGTAATGTATTAAAACATATTAAAGCTTGTTGATTCAAAATACAGGCCAAGCACTGTGACTCATGCCTGTAATCCCAGCACTTTGGGAGGTCAAGGTAGGAAGACCACTTGAACCCAGGATTTTAAGACCAGCCTGCGAAACATAAGGAGACCCCGTTTCTACAGTAAATAAATAAATAAAAAAGCCAGGTGTGGTGGTACACACCTGTAGTCCCAGCTACTAGGAAGGCTGAGGCAGGAGGATTGCTTGAGCCCCAGTGTTTGAGGTTTCATTGAGCCTTGATCCCACCAGTGCTCTCCAGCCTGGGCAAGAGAGTGAGACCTTGTCTCAAAAAAGAAATTTTATATATATATATAATTTCTTGAATATTTACTTTTCTCCTTTTATGGAGTATTTTAATGTATATGGAAATCTAATATATGCACAATTTTCTTTGGAGATGGAATTTAGGGGAAACACAGATACTCTGGGTTGAGGTGGAAGCATTAAACAAAACAGGCAGTGTTTAGAAAAGGTAAAATCCAGTGTAATGGGAGAGAGAATGGGAAGTAAAATTAGAAAAATCAAATGGAGTAAATAATGGCATGGGAGGGCATCTAGCTAAATAATGGACACCATCAAATATGATTAGATAGTCAGCATATCATTTAATATTATTATAAAAATAGCATGAGTTCATTATAAACATTTAGACAATTCACAGATATAAAATAAAATAGAAACTTAAAAAAAATTTTCCCCACTTTCCAATCCTTTTCTCTACTGTTTGACATATATCTTTCCAGATATTTTCCCATAAGCTTCTGCATACATGAGTTTCTAATATTTATTTGCTGGATCATATTGTTTTGTAACTGGCTCCTTTCACTCAACTACATGTGATGGACATCTTTCCATATTACTGTATGTGCCTCATTCATGTTAATGACCGTATAATATTTCACAGTAGGAAAGTACTGTAATTTATTTAATATTCTCACTAATGTTGGATATTTGGACTTTATTCATTTTCTAAGAAAGATAATTGAGAGCAGAGACCACATGTTTAAATGTATATTTAAGAAAGATAGCAAAACTATTTTATATATATGGTATGTATACATGCATACAGATGGAAACATGTTGTAAAGCATGTTGTAAAACATGTTCCCATCTGTCTGCATCTATACATCCCATATACATGAAATTGGTAACATGAAAATAGAAGGGAATGATTGAAAAGGGAGAAAATACACAAGTAAGTTTGTCTTTACTTAAATAACTTAAGAAGTTTTGCCTAATCCTGGGTTCATAAGAAATTTACTTCAGATTGCCCTGGCCAGAACTTCCAACACTATGGTGAATAGGAGCGGTGAGAGAGGGCATCACTGTCTTGTGCCAGTTTTCAAAGGGAATGCTTCCAGTTTCTGCCCATTCAGTATGATATTGGCTGTGGGTTTGTTATAAATAGCTCTTATTATTTTGAGATACGTTCCATCAATACCTAGTTTATTGAGAATTTTTAGCATGAAGGGCTGTTGAATTTTGTCGAAGGCCTTTTCTACATCTATTGAGATAATCAAGTGGTTTTTCTCTTTGGTTCTGTTTATGTGATGGATTACATTTGTTGATTTGCATATGTTGAACCAGCCTTGCATCCCAGGGATTAAGCCAACTTGATCTTGGTGGATAAGCTTTTAGATGTGCTGCTGGATTCGGTTTGCCAGTAGTTTATTGAGGATTTTTGCATCAGTGTTCATCAGGGATATTGGTCTAAAATTCTCTTTTTTTGTTGTGTCTCTGCCAGGCTTTGGTATCAGGATGGTGCTGGCCTCATAAAATGAGTTAGGGAGGACTCCCTCTTTTTCTATTGATTGGAATAGTTTCAGAAGGAATAGTACCATCTCCTCTTTGTACCTCTGGTAGAATTTGGCTGTGAATCTGTCTGATCCTAGACTTTTTTTTGGTTGGTAGGCTGTTAATTACCATCTCAATTTCAGAGCCTGTTATTGGTCTTTTCAGGGATTCAACTTCTTCCTGGTTTAGTCTCGGGAGGGTGTATGTGTTGAGGAATTTATCCATTTCTTCTAGATTTTCTAGTTTATTTGTGTAGGGGTGTTTATAGTATTCTCTGATGGTAGTTTGTATTTCTGTGGGATCAGTGGTCATATCCCTTTTATTATTTTTATTACATCTATTTGATTCTTCTCTCTTTTCTTCTTTATTACTGTTGCTAGCAGTCTGTCAATTTTGTTGATCTTTTCAAAAAACCAGCTCCTGCATTCATTGATTTTTTGAAGTGTTTTTTGTGTCTCTCTCTGCTTCAGTTCAGCTCTGATCTTAGTTATTTCTTGCCTTCTGCTAGCTTTTGAATTCGTTTGCTCTTGCTTCTCTAGTTCTTTTTATTGTGATATTAGGGTGTCAATTTTAGATCTTTCCTGCTTTCTTTTGTGGGCATTTAGTGCTATAAATTTCTCTCTACACACTGCTGTAAATGTGTCCCAGAGATTCTGGTATATTGTGTCTTTGTTCTCATTGGTTTCAAAGAACATCTTTATTTCTGCCTTCATTTTGTTATGTACCCAGTAGTCATTCAGGATCAGGTTGTTCAGTTTCCATGTAATTGTGCAGTTTTGAGTGAGTTTTTTAATCCTGAGTTCTAACTTGATTGCACTGTGGTCTGAGAGACAGTTTGTTGTGATTTCTCTTCTTATACATTTTCTGAGGAGTGCTTTACTTACAGCTATGTGGTCAATTTTGGAATAAGTGTGATGTGGTGCTGAGAAGAATGTATATTCTGTTGATTTGGGGTGGAGAGTTCTGTAGATATCTATTAGGTCCACTTGGGGCAGAGCTGAGTTCAAGTCCAGATATCCTTGTTAACCTTCTGTCTCATTGATCTGTCTAATATTGAAAGTGGGGTGTTAAAGTCTCCCACTATTATTGAGTGGGAGTCTAAGTCTCTTTGTAGGTTTCCAAGGACTTGCTTTATGAATCTGGGTGCTCCTGTATTGGGTGCATATATATTTAGGATAATTAGCTCTTCTTGCTGAATTGATCCCTTTACCATTACGTAATAGTCTTCTTTGTCCCTTTTCATCTTTGTTGGTTTAAAGTCTGTTTTATCAGAGACTAGGATTGCAACCCCTGCATTTTTTTGTTTTCCATTTACTTGGTAGATCTTCCTCCATCCTTTTATTTTGAGCCTATGTGTGTCTCTGCACATGAGATCGGTTTCCTGAATACAGCACACAGATAGGTCTTGACTCTTTATCCAATTTGCCAGTCTGTGTCTCTTAATTGGGGCACGTAAAGGGTATTCAATTAGGAAAAGAGGAAGTCAAATTGTCCCTGTTTGCAGATGACATGATTGTATATTTAGAAAACCCCATCATCTCAGCCCAAAATCTCCTTAAGCTGATAAGCAACTTCAGCGAAGTCTCAGGATACAAAATCGATGTGCAAAAATCACAAGCACTCCTATACACCAATAACAGACAAACAGAGAGGCAAAGCATGAGTGAACTCCCATTCACAATTGCTTCGAAGAGAATAAAATACCTAGGAATCCAACTTACAAGGAATCTGAAGGACCTCTTCAAGGAGAACTACAAAGCACCACTCAACAAAATGAAAGAGTACACAAACAAATGGAAGAACATTTCTTGCTCATGGACAGGAAGAATCAATATCGTCAAAATAGCCATACTTCCCATGGTAATTTATAGATTCAATGCCATCCCCGTCAAGCTACCTATGACTTTCTTCACAGAATTGGAAAAAACTACTTTAAAGTTCCTATGGAACCATAAAAGAGCCCGTATTGCCAAGACAATCCTAAGCCAAAAGAACAAAGCTGGAGGCCTCATGCTAGCTGACTTCAAACTATACTACAAGGCTACAGTAACCAAAACAGCATGGTACTGCTACCAAAACAGAGATATAGACCAATGGAACAGAACAGAGCCCTCAGAAATAACACCACACATCTACAACCATCTGATCTTTGGCAAACGACAAAAACAAGAAATGGGGGAAGGATTCCCTGTTTAATAAATGGTGCTGGGAAAACTGGCTAGTTGTATGTAGAAAGCTGAAACTGGATCCCTTCCTTACACCTTATACAACAATTAATTCAAGATGTATTGAAGACTTAAATGTTAGATCTAAAACCATAAAAACCCTAAAAGAAAACCTAGGCAATACCATTCAGGACATAGGCATGGGCAAGGACTTCATAACTAAAACACCAAAACCAAAAGCAAAAAAAAAAAAGCTAAAATAGGCAAGTGGGATCTAATTTAACTAAAGAGCTTCTGCACAGCAAAAGAAACTACCATCAGAGTGAACAGGCAACCTACAGAATGGGAGAAAATTTTTGCAATCTACCAATCTGGCAAAGAGCTAATATCCAGAATCTACAAAGAACTTAAACACATTTACAAGAAAAAAGCAAACAACCCCATCGTAAAGTGGGCAAAGGATATGAACAGACACTTCTCAAAAGAAGACATTTATGCAGCCAACAGACACATGAAAAAATGCTCATCATTACTGGCCATCACAGAAATGCAAATCAAAACCACAATGAGATACTATCTCACACCAGTTAGAATGATGATCATTAAAAAGTCAGGAAACAACAGATGCTGGAGAGGATGTGGAGAAATAGGAATGCTTTTACAGTGTTGGTGGAAGTGTAAACTAGTTCAACCATTGTGGAAGACAGTGTGGCGATTCCTCAGGGATCTGGAACTAGAAACACCATTTGACCCAGTGATCCCATTACTAGGTATATACCCAAAGGATTACAAATCATGCTACTATAAAGACACATGCACACGTATGTTTATTGCAGCACTATTCACACTAGCAAAGACTTGGAACCAACCCAAATGTCCATCAATGATAGAGTGGATTAAGAATATGTGGCACATATACACCATGGAATGCTATGCAGCCATAAAAACGGATGAGTTCATGTCCTTTGTAGGGACATGGATGAAGCTGGAAACCATCATTCTGAGCAAACTATCACAAGGACAGAGAAGCAAACACCACATGTTCTCACTCATTGTTGGGAACTGAACAATGAGAACACTTGGACACAGGGTGGGGAACATCACAAACCAGGGCCTGTCATGGGGTGGGGGCTAGGAGAGGGATAGCATTTGGAGAAATACCTAATGTAAATGACGAGTTAATGGGTGCAGCAAACCAACATGGCAAATGTATACATATGTAACAAACCTGCACGTTGTGCACATGTACCCTAGAACTTAAACTATAATAATAACAATAAAAATTACTTCAGAAATTAACCTTCCCTTGTGTTGGCAACTTTATTTTGAAAATCATTTCTTCACCATAGCATTAAATAGAAAATATGGAATAAGAAAAGAAATCAGTTGCTGAATGTCAAGTACAGAGCAGCAAGAGTTTTTTGTTGTTGTTTTTTAAACTATTTTTCAACATAAACAAAAGTAGAGAGAATAGTATAATGAATCCTTGTATTCATAAAAAATATAGAGGTTAGTTTACTTTTTAGTATATACTCAATCATTGAAAACTTTTTGCTTTCTTAAAACAGTGTATCAAAGAATTTTTAACCTATGTTCACACTGAAGAGAGGCTTCTAGATCTAATTTCTTTCAGCAGGCCTAGGCCCTTTTCACAAGGCAAAGGGGAAATACAAAAGAAGTAGTGTGTAGAGCTGGAAGGGCTTTAAATAAGTCCCTTCTACGGCCTGGCCTGCTTCTTAAGATGTGATTATGGTAACAGGTGTGATAGCCCTGTGGCCAGCTTGAGGCAAAGATGGGAAGAAAAGAAAGAGGAGAGAAGGGAATGTAGGTACAGACAGAAGAAAAGGAACTGGAGGTAGGAGACAGTTGAGAAAGGAAAACTGAATTATATGTGAAATAAAATAGTGGTAACTATTCACACAAAGGGCAAGGACTTTAGAACTCAATTCCAGATCCCTCACTTGTTACGTCTGTGTCTGAATGTCTCTCTCAACCTTGCTAAGGCTCAGTTTCATCATCTGCAAAACAGTGCTAGTGATACTTACCTGGAAGGGCATCTTTGATATTGTCAATATTAGTTTATAAAATAATGTGTATAAAACCCTTGGTACATCATTAGTGGTCAATACTTGGTAATACAGATATTATTATTACTTTCATTATCTTAAAATGCCTGGTTTTAACTTGGATTATTGCTTTCATTTCTGAAATTATGCTTTTTTTGAGAAGCAAGTACAAGACATGAGCATGTGGCTTTTCAACTTGAAAATGAGAAACTGGGAATATGAGAGTAGTCTCAGTTACTGAAAATCTGTCATGGGGGTGAAAGAGTTGATTTTTTTTTCCTTTGGGATCCCAATAGGCAGAAAGTTTTAGGAAAATACATTTTTATTTAACCCAATAAAGACATTTCTAACAATGAGACCAGTCTAGAAATTACAAAGAGCTATCTCACAGAAGTGTTTGCAAGGATTATCGCAATAGATCAGGATTTTTCAATCACGACAGCATTGACATATTAGATCAGGTAATTCTTCGATAGGATGTGTTGTTCTGTGTATTATAGGATGTTTTGCAGCATCTTTAGCCTTGACCCACTAGAAGGCAATAGTATCCCCCACTGTGACTGTCAAAAGTGTCTCCAAATGTAGCCAGATGCCTTTTGAGGGGCAAAATCACCTACAGTTGACAACCACCACATTAGATCGTTGGTTGTCCAACATAGCTTCCAGTGCTAAAGGGCTTCAGCACTTTAGAGGCCACTGTGAGAAAGGAGAATTTAAGCACAATAGAGAATTTGAGGGATGGGAGTGCTTATCTTGTGTTCTGGGGACACCAATCATGTCAGTGAGAACAGCTCACTTCCAAATAGTCTCTGTTATGAGGATTCTGCTAAAGTATTCATAAACATCATCATCTAAAAACATATTTTGCTTACTCAACTTGAATCCTTTTTGGAATTCCATGAAAATTATTTTGGTTACCATGAGCTCCTGAATACTTTCATGTGATGTAGACCTTTGAAAGAGAATTTGATTACTTTTAAAATTCAGAATTCTTTTTTTTCATATTCACTGTCATCAATGCCCAAATAACAGTTTGGATATGAATCAAAAGGAAAAGTGGGATAGCAGTATAAAGCTCTAACAAGTTCATCAATAATTAAAATGACATGAGGATAGCCTCATGTACTTGATATTTTTGTCATATAAATGAAAGGTTTGTTCTTTCCCCCTGTGGAATCTCAAAGTGTGGAAATAAGAACAGTACATTGTTCTTGGAGAACAAATATTGGTTTAGTGACCACTTTGGGAAATAATGTGTTTGGGTTGGTGGAAAAAGACAAGATTTTCCTCACCTCAGGGAACCTCCATTAGTTACATGAGGTTCTGGAGCCTCCCTATGGGTTGCCTCCTACAGCAAAGGACATCTCACCCTGGGCCTTCACTCTTGAGGTGGCCCAGGGAGCCCTCAGTACGAAGGCTGTGAGTGCATTGCAGGCTTGTTTCAGAAGATTCAGGTTCAGAAGTGCAAGAGATGAAGATAAAGAGGTTGGATGTATACAGTCTCCATCATAGTTTTTCTTTTCTTACTTTTTCATTTAAGAAAAAAAAGTCTTATTTCTTCTGGTTCTATAAGAATATTTTACCAAAATGACAGAGAGGAGAAAAAAGGATAATTGTAGTAAAGCAGGTTATTGGAGACCACTTCTTCCATTCTTTTAAAGAAAGATTGTTCTCTGGAAATCATCCCAGATCGGGAGAGGGGGCACAGGAGGAAGGAAGGAAGGAAGGAAGGAAGGAAGGAAGGAGAAGGGGAAGGGGTAAGGGGAAGGGGAAGGGAAAAGGAAAAAGGAAGGAGAGAGTGAAATAAAATACATTTTTCAATGGCCTAGTTTGGAAAATGCTGATTAATATATATTTTAAAGTGCATAGTGCCTACTAGTGTATTAATGGTTTTGAGGAGTTCTTTAATATATAATCTCATTAATTTTTTTGCTTTCTTTCTTTCTTTTTTTTTTTTTTGAGACAAGGTCTGCCTCTGTCACCCAGGCTGGACAGCAGTGGTGTGATCATGGCTCACTCCAACTTGGACACCCGGGCTTAGCCTCCTGAGTAGTTGGGACTACAGGCACATGCCACCATGCCTGGCTAAACTTTTTAAAAAATTGTGTAGAGATAGGGCCTCGCTATGTTGCCCAGGCTAATCTCAACCTCCTAGCCTCAAGCAATACTCCTGCCTCAGCCTCCCAAAGTGCTGGGATTACAGGCATGAACCACCCCATGCTGCCAATCCCACTAAATTTTGTTCACTCATTTAGTTAATGCTTTCTCATTTTCCCACTTTTGGGTCTCACCCTGGGAACCAACCTCATTTTCTTCCATGTATTCACACCTTAAACTCCACCCATTCTCTTTGTCTGGGAACTCTTACTCATCCTTCACATCTCATCTTCATATCACTTCTGCTGAGGAGCCTTCACTAACCCTTCCCTATTAGATTAAGTTTCCTGACCTTTCCTTTTATGAGCATCCATCCCATGTACACTCTTCAACACCAGTCATTAAATTATTTGTTTAATTAATATCTGTTCTCCTCATAGACCATAAGCTCCATGAGCCCTTTGAAAGATGAATTCATAGCACAGTATGTGGTGCATAATCAATGCATATCTGTTGAAAGAGTAAAAACCACCTAATATATAGAGTTCAGGACCTAGCTTGAGAAATGGTTTGTAGACAGAGCCTCCCCCCATCTCTTTATAGCACAGTCTTCCTTAGAGGGTGCAACTACAGAAAAGGAAATGTTGGAGGGATAAAGAAGAAAGGAGAAATATTTATTTCCAAAGTGGCTCTCATTTGGAGTAGACTGAGTCAGAATAGAGTATTTAATTAAAGTCTAATATTTGAGGTCATGGTGCTTATTTCTCTCTAACAAAAGAGGAGGGGAAATGTACCTATGGCAAAGGTCTTTAGAAAGAACCACCAAAGACAAATAGACGCAATTTGTAGATTATATCTGGTCTACGATGAAGTCATTTTTCACTCACCTCCCTTATTCTCAGTGCAAATAATAACAGAAAATTACTTGTTCCTAATTCTGTGCTTATCTGACAAATGCGTCAATATTTCTTAGATTCACCTAGCACCTTGTAGGCTGGAATAGAACTTGACTCTGTGAGGTCAGGTTTTGCATTCACATTCATTCATGTTTTAAACATCAGTTTCTGTATGTTTTACTTATGCTTTATTAGATCTCAATTATAAATACTAACTGTTTTCTTAAAACCACTCTATCTCATAGATATTTTAAATTGTTACAATAGTTGGCTTTAAATAAAATTTTAAGGCAAAGAAATTATTTTTATCAGACCATCTGTTTATCACGTAGGCTTAAGAAATGGTTTATAGCTTTCCCAGATTTGGGGGGTTACAAGCTCGCTCATTTGTACTATCCCCCAAGGGAGTTTTTGTTTTCATAAGTGGAAAATAGGCAAACTTGCTGCTACCTAGAAATGAATTTGAGTAGGGCAAATATTTCTAAGCTAGATTTTACATTATGCTATTATGCTAATTTACAGTCTCTTCCTGCCATTTCCTTCTCGGTCCAATTACTTCTGTTTGGCACTTAGAAATGTAAAATGCGTGCTTTCAAACATTTTCACTGCATAGTTGTCTTAAGAGTTCCCTTGAAGTAAAACAAAGCAATTTCCCATATGGTGATTCCCACTAAACAGTGAGTATCACATCTTTGTCAAAGATAATAGTACCTACTAATTAAGTGCCTAAGAGGTTCTTTCATAGCTTTTGCAAATATTATATTATTTAATTCTTATTATATTCCTATGAGACGTGTATTGTTAACTCGGTGACGCAGAAAAGAATGTGGCTCAGAGAGACTAAATAGCATGCCCTTAAAATCACACATTTAGTTGAGGTAGAGGTGAGATACAAACACAGACCTGTCTGGCTGAAGGCATGTTATTAACTGTTCTGCACTGTCTCTCTCCTGCCACACTATCCGTCCATGCTGAGGGCTTTCATATTGCTAACACTGCTCTTACTTTTGGACATCTATGTAGCTGGAGTCAGAAAACAAAAATAAGTCTAAAATTACCATTTAGAACTGAGGTTTATTGAAAACACAAATATGTGTTTTCTATAGTAATGTGAAAGCTTTGGATTGTCCATACTACTAAGCTCTTCTAATAGTGTGAAGTGGTGAAATTTGAATAAATCCCCGTTTTTAAAAAATCTAATACTTATTTTCATATACTGTGCCAGTTAGAAACAATCAAATCAATAATATATACAGCTATTACAAATTCAGTAGTTTGAGTTTTAGCTCACTTTTTAAGATGGAGATTAAGCTTTTCACACTGAAAGTGTAACTTCAAAGTACAAAAGACATGGCACAGAAATACTATTTTGGTCAAGGTAAAGCTAAGCTTTAAGCACTAATTTATTAGGAGGGCAAAGGTTGGAGTTTTGATTATTTAAAATGCTTCACTATTTTTCATACATGTCATTGACTTCCCTACACAAGAAGGATATCCTGATTTGATGGGTTTTCCAAGGAAATTGTGATTGTTTCTTGCTGTGGTACACCTATATTTTCTCATGGTAAAACCTCACACATGTTTGCTGACAAGATTGATGGAAATTATAGGACCTTGTGTAGTAGCAGATCGTGGATTTTGGACTACTACAGCTTGGGATGGAGACCTGTATGCTCTACTTTCTAGTATTATGACTGTGGACATGAAAATTAACATAATCTTTTGTTTACTTCTTTATAAAAGTGCAGTTAATTGGAATATAGTAAACTCTCCATAAGTGGATTTAGTTATGGTTGTTTCAGATAGTGACTAAGGGACCAAAGACATGGATTAAATTAAGATTTTTTGCCTCGTTCTTCAGTATGTAGTAACTGACTAAGGTTTGGCCACAGATTGGTTTAGAAACAGTCATTTGGGGGGAACTGATGACTTATTTGCCTTTTATGGTCTTCTAGCCTTAAGGATGAATGACGTTTTAGGTTAGGTTTCCTTGAAAACAGGCTGGCAGGCATATTGCATGCAGCAGATTTGTTGGGAAGTATGCTTGGGACAACAATCAATAACGATTGACTAAAGAGGCAAGGCAGAACTGGAACTATATGATACAGGTCCATAGAGGTCTCAGAAGATCTGACAGGAGCTCTGCAGATGAAATGATAGCTTACAGCGGTACTGTCTTGAAGTCAGGGGGCCAAATCTTTGTAACCCCCAATTGACCAGTCATTGGATTTGAGATACCTCCAGGGTGAGGCACTTAGACATAGGCAAGGAAGCTTTGTTCTGTGGATAGCTATTCCTGGGGCAGGTCTCAGTGGTGAGCCCTCCCAGGCAACATTTTCAGAAGCTGGAAGAATGGTGAATGAGTGTGTTGATCCTGGAAGTTGGGCAGAGGTTGGGAAGGGAAAGGGTCTGAGCAGTGCAGCACAGTGTCTATTAAGTAGCTTTTAAAAACATAGATCTTTTATGAGATAATTCTCCATTTTTAAAACTAGAAATTAAATTTGGGATACATATAAATTCTAGTTTATCTATACTAATTGAACTTTAAAAATCTGTTGTCCAAACTACAAATTTATTTACATTTGAGAAGTCTAAAGCATAGACTGTTGAAGTGACCAAAGTAACCAAAATAATACAATCAATAGCTGGAACACATTTGTTGACTCTTCTCCTGCTTTACACCTTTATTGATTTAAAACCTGTGTAGAATGTAACGTTTTGTTCTTCAAGTATGTAATGGATGTCTGCAAGTATTTTCCAGCTGTGCTCTGTGATTACCAAATTTAAGACTTTCTACCAAATCAAATCCTTTATTAAGGTATGCTCTCACCTAATTTACCTGTATAAATTAAAGATGATTGGAAAAAGCCCTAACGTAAGAGAGCAAGAAACCTAGTGCTTGCTACAAAATGTAGCCTCTCTTCGTATCTAGCTGAGGTAGACATTATTTTCATACTAATTTCATGGATTCTCAGTTATGAAAGTAATGCAGAATCTGCCTTTTAAATAGAAGTAATGAATCGATGTTTACATGAATACCTCTTTATTCTTCTGTTATTATTTGTATTCAGGAACAAACTGTCACATGCGTCCCTGTGAAGAGACCACCAAACAGGCTTTGTGTGAGCAATAAAGCTTTTTAATCACCTAGGTACAGACAGGCTGAGTCTAAAAAGAGAGTCAGTGAAGGGAGACAGGGTTGGGGCCGTTTTATAGGATTTGGGTAGGTAATGGAAAATTACAGTCAAAGGTGGTTGTTCTCTGGTGGACAGGGGTGGGGGTCACAAGGTGCTCAGTGGGGGAGCTTCTGAGCCAGGAGAAGGAATTTCACAAGGTAATGTCATCAGTTAAAGCAGGAACTGGCCATTTTCACTTATTTTGTGAATCTTCAGTTACTTCAGGCCATCTGGATGTATACATGCAGTCTTGGGATCAGAGGCCTGACATTCCTGTCTTCTTATATTAATAAGAAAAATAAAATGAAATAGTGGTAAAGTGTTGGGGTGGCGAAAATTTTTGGGGGTGGTATGGAGAGATAATGGGCGATGTTTCTCAGGGCTGCTTCAAGCAGGATTAGGGGCGGCATGGGAATCTAGAGTGGGAGAGATTAAGCTGAAGGAAGATTTTGTGGTAAGGGGTGATATTGTGGGATTGTTAGAAAAAACATTTGTCATATAAAATGATTGCTGATGGCCTGGATATGGTTTTGTATTAATTGAGAAACTAAACGGACGACACAAGGTCCGAATAAGAGAAGGAGAAAAACAAGTATTAAAGGACTAAGAATTGGGAGGACCCAGGACATCCAATTAGAGGGTGCCCAAGTGGGTTCAGCATAATTACTTGCTTGGTTGGAGAGTTTTTTGGGCTCTATCCTTGAGTTTTTTTATGTTGTCATACAGCAGGCCAGATTGATTTAGGTAAAAACAACACTCTTCATTTAAAAATAGAGTCCTCTTTTTTTAGCAGTGAGTAAGTCGAGGCCTCCACGATTTTGGAGGAAAGAGAAATACAAAGCCAGCAATTGTTTGTTAAAGAAGGATTAGAAATGGCTAGGAGAGAGTGAGTGAGATTGATAGTGTGGTGGAGATAGTTGGGGAGAGGTAGAGTGTGGCATAAGAATGGGAACAAGAATAAGAGTGCATATAAAAGTAAAGAATAGGACGTTATCAGGGTGAAAGTATTGGAGGGTACCCTGTCAGCAAAGATCATCTATCCACTTTAAAAGAGAATTAAGGGTGGTGGTTTGAGGTAAAACCAGGAGATATCAGTTATGATGGTTTGAAGGAAAAGTGTAAACTGCCAGTGTAAACAAGGGCAGGATATTTACGAGTAGTTGAGAATGATGAATAGGAGTGTGACTAGAGAGAAGATAGTAGGGATGACAAGTATTTGGGGTGCGGTTCAAGTTGGGCTGGTGTCTAGAATGAGACTGGGGCCTAATAAAAAGGAGCATCCATACAGGAGCTCAAATGGGCTATACCCTGTAGCATCCTGAGGACAGGCCAGAATTCTGAGAAGGGCAAGTGGTAAAAGTATTGTCCATTCCTTTTTAAGTTGGAGGCTGAACTTGATGATTTGTGTTTTTAAAAGACCATTAGTCCATTTTACCTTTCCTGAAGATTGAGGACAGTAAGGGGTATGAAGGTTCCACTGAATACCAAGAGTCTGAGAAACTGCTTGGGCGATTTGACTAATAAAGGCCGGTCCGTTATTGGACTATATAGAGGTGGGAAGGCCAAATCAAGGAATTATGTCTGACAGAAGGGAAGAAATTATGGCGGTTACCTTCTCAGACCCTGTGGGAAAGGCCTCTACCCATCCAGTGAAAGTGTCTATCCAGACCAAGAGGTATTTTAGTTTCCTGACTCGGGTCATGTGAGTAAAGTCAATTTGCCAGTCCTGGTCAGTGGCAAATTGTCAAGCTTGACTTGTAGGGAAGGGAGGGGGCCTGAACAATCCCTGAGGAGTAGTAGAATAGCAGATGGAACACTAAGAATTGATTTCCGTGAGGATAGATTTCCATGATGGAAAGGAAATGAGAGGTTTTAAGAGGCGGGCTACCAGCTTGTAACCTACATGGAAGAGGTTATGAAATGACGACAGAATAGATTGGGCCTATGACGCTGGAAGGAGATCCTTGGTCCAAGAACCATTTGCCTTGTTTGGGAAGAGATTGATAGTTGGAAGTTTCAGTGGGGGAGTAGGTGGGAGTGACTGATGAGAAGGAGAAAAACTTCCATGGGGAACAGAAGTTGGAATGCTAGCTGCTTTTTTAGCTACCTTAACAGCATAAGCATTACCCTGAGCAATGGGATCTGATGCCTTTTGATGGCCCTTGCAGTGAATGACTCCAGCTTCCTTTGGAAGTAAAGCGGCCTTGAGAAGTGTTTTTATTAAAGAGGCATTAATGATGGAGGACCCTTGCATAGTGAGGAAACTTATTTCTGCCCATATAACAGCTTGGTGGTGCAGGATATGGAAGGCATACCCTTTAGAGTCAGTATAAATATTGACGCATAGTCGCTTTGCAAGAGTGAGGGCTCCAGTTAAGGTAATGAGTTTGGCTTGCTGAGAGGTAGTGGAGGGGGCAGAGTGGTAGCCTCAAGGATAGATGTGGAAGATACTATAGCATAGCCTGCCTTTGCTAATGAGTGACAATTAGGCCTGGTGGAACTGCCATCAATAAACCAAGTGTGATCAGGGTGAGGAACAGGAAAGAAGAAAATATGGGGAAATGGAGTGAATGTCAGGTGGATCAGAGAGATACAGTCATGGGGGTCAGGTGTGGTATCTGAAATAATGTGGGGGCCAGCCTAAAACAGTAAGGTCAAGCTGTTTGGACAGAAAGGCTACAGGGTGCGGTCCCAGCTCTTGTGTAAGAATTGTGACTGCACAGCCCTGTACTTTGGCTGTGTGTAACGAAAAATGGTTGGGATGAGTTAGGGAGAGCTAGTGTGGGAGCAGCTTTAGGGCTGTTTTTTAAGGAATGGAAAGGGGAGTGGGGAAAGGATTTAGGATCTATGGGGTCACCTAGATTTGCTTTGGTGAGTTTATATAATGGTTTAGTCAGGATGGTAAAAGTAGGTATCCAAAGGCGGAAGTAGCTAACCATGCCTAGGAAGGAAAGGAGTTGTTGTTTCGTAGAAGGGGTTGGGGTTTGGGAGATTAGCTAGACATGATCAGCTGGGAGAGCATGTGTGTTTTCATGAAGAATTATGCTGAGATAGGTAATGGATGAGGAGGAAATTTGGGCTTGACTGAAGTAATGGGGGCTGTCCGTGAAGCCTTGTGGCAGTACAGCCCAGGTAATTTGCTGAGCCTGATGGGTGTCAGGGTCAGTCCAAGTGAAAACAAAGAGAGGCTGGGATGAAGGGTGCAAAGGAATAGTAAAGAAAGCATGTTTGAGATCCAGAACAGAATAATGGGTTGTAGAGGGGTTGTGGAGGGAGGTATTGCGGATAGGAGAGTATATGGATTTGGCACCATGGGGTGGATAGGCAAAACAATTTGGCTGATAAGGCACAGATCCTGAGCTAACTTGTAAGACTTGTCTGGTTTTTGGACAGGTAAAATGGGGAATTGTAAGGAGAGTTTATAGGTTTTAAAAGGCCATGCTGTAACAGGCGAGTGATTACAGGCCTTAATCCTTTTAAAGCCTGCTGTGAGATGGGATATTGGTGTTGAGCGGGTTAAAGGTGATTAGGTTTTAATGGGATGGTAAGGGGTGCATGATCAGTCGTCAAGGAGGGAGTAGAGGTATCCTATACTTGTGGATTAAGTTGGGGAGATACAAGGGAAGGATGTAAAGGAGGCTTTGAACTGGAGAAGAGGGTGGCAATGAGGTGTGGCTATAGCCTAGGAATAGTCAGGGAAGCAGACAATTTAGTTAAAATGTCTCATCCTAATAAGGGAGCTGGGCAGGTGGGGATAACTTAAAAGGAGTGCATAAAAGAATGTTGTCCAAGTTGGCATCAGAGTTGGGGAGTTTTAAGAGGTTTAGAAGCCTGGCCGTCAATACACACAACAGTTATGGAGGCAAGGGAAACATGCCCTTGAAAAGAAGGTAATGTGGAGTGGGTAGACTCCGTATTGATGAAGAAGGGGATGGATTTACTTTCCACTCTAAGAGTTACCCAAAGTGTCTGTGATGGTCCAGAAGGCTTCAGAGGCGATCGGGCAGCGTCAGTCTTCAGCCACTAAGCCGAGAAGACCTGGGAAGGAGTCAGTCAGAGAGCCTTGGGCCAGAGTTCCAGGGGCTCTGGGTGTAGCTGCCGGGTGAGTTGGACAGTTCAATTTCCAATGGGGTCCTGCACAGATGGGACATGGCTTAGGAGGAATCCTGGGCTGCAGGCATTCCTTGGCCCAGTGGCCAAATTTCCGGCACTTGAAGCAAGATCCTGAGGGAGGAGGTCCTTAAGGAATGCCAGACCACTGTGGCTTAGACGTTTTGAAGTTCTTGTGTGCTGCAGATGTGGCTGGGGTTTCTCTTACAGCAAAGGCAAGTAATTGCAACTCCTCTGTTATTGTACATCTTGAAGGCGAGGTTGATTAATTCCTATTGTGGGGTTTGAGGGCCCAATTCTAATTTTTGAAGCTTTTTTTTAAGTCAGGAGCTGACTGGGTGATAAAATGCATATTGAGAATAAGATGGCCTTCAGGCCCCTCTGGGACTAGGGCAGTAAAGGGTCTAAGCATTGTGGCCAAATGGGCCATGAACTGGGCTGGGTTTTTATATTTGATGAAAAAGAGCCTAAACGCTAACTGATTTGGGAGAGGTTGGATAAAGAAAAAGGAGCATTAACCTTGACTATGCCTTTAGCTACAGTCACCTCTTTAAGAGGAAATTATTGGGCAGGTGGGGGAGGGCTAGTCACGGAACGAAACTGTAAGCTGGACTGGGTGTGAGGAGGGGAAATGATAGAAGAATTATAGGGTGGGGGAGTGGAGTCTGAGGAAGAATTGGAGCCTGATTCAGCCTGGCAGGGAGTGACCTGAGGAGGAGCAGTCTTGGGAGGAGGGGAGAGGTCAGATGGGTCAGTAGAAAAGGAAGAGTGAAAAGACTCAGCGACGCTTGGGGTTGGGACTGAGGGGACAGGTGGGAGGGAAGGAAGGATTTGGGACGAGTCACATTGGGAACAGAGACTAGGGAGGGACCAATGTGTAAAAGAATGCCTGGATGTCAGGCACCTCAGACCATTTGCCCATTTTACGACAAGAATTATCTAGATCTTGTACAATGGAGAAATTGAAAGTGTTTTCTGGCTATTTGGAGCTATTGTCGAGTTTGTATTGGGGTCAAGTGGCATTGCAGAAGAAAATAAGGCATTTAGGTTTTAGGTCAGTTGTGAGTTGAAGAGGCTTTAAGTTCTTGGAACACAGGCCAAGGGAGAAGAAGGAGGAATGATGGGTGGAAGGTTGCCTATAGTGAAGAAGGCAAGCCCAGAGAAAAGAAAGGGTAGGGACACGGAGAGAAGGGGTGGGGGTACATGCCCCCCCCCCCAGGAAAGTGGTACTTGCCACTAAGGTGAAGGATCAAGGCAGGCATCCCTGTGGTGATCAGACACCTCTGAAACGTGGGTGAATAATCAGGCAGGTGTCCCCACAGTGATTAAACACCAAAGGAAAACTGTCTTCCCGAGTCCATGACTGGTGCCAGAGTTTTGGGTTCACAGATAAAATGCATCTCTTCTGTCTCTACCAGAAAAGGAAAGGAACTGAAATTAAGCGAAGGGAGAGATTCAAGGGTGGCACCAAGATTGAAAGGAGAAAGAGGTTGAGGGATAGTGAGAGAGGCTGGAGAACAGTAAAAAGAGCCTGCTTACCCGATTTAAAATTGGTGATGTTCCTTGGGCTTGTTGGTCTGAGGACCAGAGGTTGTAGATGAATCTTTCTCATGGAGCAAAGAGCAGGAGGACAGGGGATTGATCTCCCAAGGGAGGTCCCCCGATCCGAATCACAGCACCAAGTTTCACTCACGTCAGCGTGAAGAGACCACCAAACAGGCTTTGCTTAAGCTAAGCAATAAAGCTTTTTAATCACCTGGGTGCAGATGGGCTGAGTCTGAAAAGAGAGTCAAGGAAGGGAGATAGGTTTGGGTCCATTTTATAGGATTTGGGTAGGTAATGGAAAATTACAGTCAAAGGGGGTTGTTCTCTGGCAGGCAGGGATGGGGGTCACAAGGTGCTCAGTGGGGGAGCTTTTGAGCCAGGAGAAGGAATTTCACAAGGTAATGTCATCAAAGGCAGGAACTGGCTATTTGCTCTTCTTTTGTGACTCTTCAGTTACTTCAGGCCATCTGGATGTATACGTGCAAGCTTGGGCTCAGAGGCCTGACATTAACGTGCAGGCTTGGGCTCAGAGGCCTGACACAAACATGTTTTCCTGACATCTGTATTCTAAGTTGTGTGATTCATTGTTTTTCAGCTTGAATAACCTGATTTCACATATTTTTCCGTAAGTCAGAGGCATGTCTAGCTGTTAGTTATTGTCTGTACTTTTACATAGCATGCCTGCACTAGCCATCATTTTTCTACTTTGTGTTTTTAATCTTTTAACCAGTCACTATGGGAAGAGTTTTTCCAGGAATAGTTTTTCCAGTTTTCAATGAAAACCAGGCAAGAATGGCTATGGATCTCACAAAGACTGGCAACATTTTATTGCTATTGTTTATTTAATTTAGTGGGTTTAAATGAAACCAGGACGTCTGCAGCAGTTTTGATCTCTGGTCTTGCTCTCAACTATTTAAGTCTTAAAAATTGTTTTGCTTTATGTTTTCGTAATTTTATTGCTTGTCAAAAATCAGCTGGGATACATGATAGGTTAGCATGGTGACAATGTTATCTTAACCATAGATGAAGCAAAGTGGTGAAAATTTCCTGAGAAGATGATTAATGTTCATGAAAAGTTAATAGGACATCTGAGTTTCTTGAGATGTAAACATCATCTAACTGCTCTAGTTTGGCTTCTTTCCAAGGGAAACAAAAATATTCCCTTAGTGTCTAATGAAAGTCTGCATGATAAGTATGAACTTTAGACGGTTAGTGTATTTAGAGTAAATCTATTGAATACTGAGCTTAATTTATTCAATCCTTATTTTTGGGTACCTCTTTTTACCTAAGTACCAAAAGGAAATGATCAATGAAAGTTTCTTTCCTGACTCACATCCCTTCTAGCTACTGCTCCCTCTCTCAGCAATCCAGTTCCTTTCCTCTCATTCTCTTAAATCAACCATCTTTTGCCCACAGCACACTACTAAAAATGTCCAGGTTCAGCAGTGACCATGTTATTGTTCACTTCTCACTCTTCATTGGGTTTGACCAGTGAGCAGCTCTTAATACAGCTGATCATTCACTTTACTGAAACATTTTTTTCCACTTATCTGTTTTTCTCCACATTTTCTGGCTATTTTTACTCAGTCTATTTTTGTTGTTCCTTATCATCCCCACAAGCTCTAAGTATTACAACATACCAGTGTTCATTTCTTCAACCTCTCTTCCTCTCTAGCTGTACACATTTCTCTGGTAGTCTCTCTCATCTTATTGATGCATCCATATGCTTCATGTCCCAAGTTTATATTCCTAGCCCAGATTTTAACTCTGTAATTCAGGCTCATATATCCAGAACATTTAGGCCTTTGGCTTTTACTTTGATTGATAAAGGAGTTGTGGGAGAGTGTGAATGGAGAAATGACATGATATGGCTTACTTTTCAACAGGATCACTCTGGCTGCTGTGTTAAGAGTAGATGAGGGGAAGCAAGTGCAGAAACAGGGGGTCCAGTTAGGAGCTGTTGCAGTCATCCAGTTGAGGTATGATGATGATTTTGACCAGGGTGGTGATAGTGGAAGTGGTGAGAAGTGGTCATATTCTGAATATATTTTAAAGTTAGAGTTAACAAAATGTATTCCATGGATTGTATATGTAATGTGAAAGGAAGTGAAGTCAAGGCTGACCCCAGAGTTTTTGATCCGAGCAACTGGAATTTCATTAACTGAGATAGGGAAGGATGGGGTTGGAGAGGAGGTTCTGATGGAAATTTGTGCAACTCCACTTAGGAAGTGTTATTTTGAGATGGCACTTAGAGTGCTTTCATGAAATATTTATTGAGCAAATGACTGGCATCTCAGCCCTGCCTTCCACGACCAGTTATTTCTATACATAGAGCCTTTGTGTTTCACCTGTCCTTGTCTTTGGGTTTGTGGAGTAGTAGTTACATGGCTGGTGATCAGAGCAAAGTGAATCTGGGGATAAAATTAGCCCATATACAGACACAAACAAATTTTTTTTTTTTAATGATGAGCCCGAACTCTAACTTCCTCCTATTACACTGAGACCTGGGTTTTTCCAGTGTTGTGATCAAAAGATGGGCTTACTTCTCAAGGTAATCTCTGTTTGAAGGCAATGAGACTTTGGCTTCATATGTTTTGTTTAGTTCGTTCCTAAACGGCTACCTCATCCACTTGTCACTTTTCAAAAATGTGTTGACATCTCTTTATTGTTCTTATCACTCCACATGTTATTTTTGCCGTTGTGGCATCTATTTTTATATCTCTAAATTGTTATTTTAGTATTCTGTTTGCCTAAGGGACCTGAGATAAATGCACATGTTCAATCCAAGTTAATAAAAATTCCACTTGCATATTCTTCCAGAATCTTTCTTTTTAATATTGAATATATTTTTCATTCAAATATACAATTAAACACTTTTTTCTTTCATATAAATGCAAAGGTATTAAAGTTTTAATTTGTCAAAATGTTTACTGTCATGGTGTTGCCTTAATTGTGGAAGATTCGGTGCTCCGCGTTATCTCCTCTCAGACATTTAGAACAATCTTCACTTGTGAAATTGCATGAGCTCCTAGCATAATAGTCTCTGGAGTATTTTGGACACTAAATAAATATTTCTTGAGTGAATAAATAAATTCTCGAAGAGCTGCCCACCTTTGACGTTTTTATTCATTCTCAGGTTAATCCTCCTATTTTTTCTTCCAATATTTACTATTCAATTGATATTATAGGATTCATTCAACTGATACCTTCTATGTGTAAGGTGCTGTGGAATATATAATAATGATTTAGAAATAGTTCTTGATCTCAAGACATTTACAGTTTATTAATACAGAAAAATCATGTAAAAATAAAGAGCTAGACTGTAATAAGGAGCATAAGAGTCATACTAATAATTTAAGGGTTCAGGGGAGTGAGAATTTTCTTGGCAAGAAAAATCAGGATATCTTTATGAAATGATGGCTTTAAGATAAGCCTTGAACAGTTACAGGGATTCAACCTAAGAAATGGAAAAAAAGTCACTCTAAATGAGTAGGCTAGCATGTGTGAAGATAAAGGGATGAGAAAATGTATTAGTTGGTAAGTATTCGTTTAGCTCGATTAGAGTAAAAAAAGGAGAAACATGGAATATAAAGCCAGAAAGAATTTGAAACAGATGTGCTTGGCCATAGGCAATAGGACAGAAAGAATATGGGTGTTTTTTCACAGGGGGACACAAAAGGTTAATCAATAGGAGATTGCTGTAATCAGACATTTTCTTTGGGAAGCCTGTTGGAAAGAAATGAAAGGTGATTGAATGCTGGCAGGACAAATAAGTGGTATCAGAGAGATTTGAGTCTCTGAGAAGGATGTAGGTTCTATTTCCAGATATATGGGAATTAGGAGAAGATAGTTTTGGAAGTATTAATAGGATAATAGTAATTTTAGATACAGTAAATTTAGAGTGAATTTCAGGTATAAATGTCTAACACACAGTAGAAAATATGAAACTAAGAACTTGGGAAGAAAGTGTTAAAATAAAGACTTAACAAAAATGATTAAAGAACATCATATTATGTGATCACTTTCTCAGGTTTAACACTTTTAGTTATTGAAAAGTTGCTATTTTGGAATCATTTTTAATTTTTATTAAAAGGCACTTCTTTACAAACAAAAAAATGCAGCTTGTAATTTTTTATATTGAATAAATTCATATTTATTCAAAAATAATGTGCAGTTACATCATTTTTACATTTAATTCCCAAACATATGACAAGTTACAAATATCTTTTTACATTTTGTGGGACTGTTATAAAATTATTAGTCATTTGTGCACATTAAAAACCCAATGCCATATTGAAGAAATAATTGGAAGGTAAAGGTTATATTTTCTCCAGGATATTAAAATACATATTTCTCTAGATCTGTTGTTATGGTCAAATTGTCACTTTTTATTTTTCTTATCCTTAGAATTAAGTGAATGAGTATTCCAGAATTTATATTAAGGTCGACATGATCCAAACTTTATTTTTATGTCAAAGAAACTGGATAGATTCAGCAACATTTTAATGTTCACAGGTAAATTAAAATTTCAAAATACTTAAAATTATATCATAGCAAATGCTTGTGATAAATTTTAAAGCATAGAAGTGTAGGAAATGATTATAAGAGTTCTTGTTTTCTCTGTCCTCAATTATACTTCCCAAGTTAGTGTTCCTGAAATTTGATTTTATAATCTCTTTAATGAGAAAAAAAGCACAAATATCTGTCATTTTATTTTTTATGTGCATATTTATTTATTTATTTTGAAACAGAATCTCATTCTGTCGCCCAGACTGGACAGCAGTGGTGCGTTCTCAGCTCACTGCAACCTCTGCCGCCTGAGTTCAAGCGATTCTCCTGCTTCAGCCTCCCAAGTAGCTGGGATTACACGCACCTACCACCATGCCCAGCTAATTTTTGTATTTTTTTTTAAATTTTTTGAGATGGAGTCTCGCTCTGTCCCCCAGGCTGGAGTGCAGTGGCGTGATCTCAGCTCACTGCAACCTCCACCTCCTGGGTTCATGCCATTCTCCTGCCTCAGCCTCCTGAGTATCTGGGACCCCAGGCACCTGCCACCACACCTGGCTAATTTTTTGTATTTTTAGTAGAGGCAGGGTTTCACCATCTTGAACAGGCTGGTCTTGAACTCATGACCTTGTGATCTACCTGCCCCGGCCTCCCAAAATGCTAGGATTACAGGCGTGAGCCACCGCACCCAGCCATGTTTTTATTTTAATATTAATATGTGCTTAACTACATATATTATACTGTAACTCTTTCAACTGAAAAATTGCCATAAGCATATCTTTTAATTCATGTTTTAGGAGGAACGATAGAGCTATAGATATCAATACTTGTATTATTTCTTCCCTTTGAGATGTTTTCTAAAAGAAAAAGACAGTGAGAAAACAATGAATCACCACAATGTGATCTAGACAATATTAATGAATCTGGATACTTTTTATGCAAAGATACTAAAATGTGATTCTAAGATCTTCATTCACGTTTTCAAACCACATATACTGAATTAATTCTTTATGTTATTCTGTGAAGCCTCCTTGAAAATATGAGGTTACATGCTTAAAGACTGTTAAAGTCTGTCTTAGTTTGGAGAAATATCAGTGACTTCTAAAGACCTCATTTCCAAGAGGTTGAGAGAAACAATATTTTGTTTTATCCATTCAAAACCAGACTAGCATTCGAAGATATATTGATACCTTGGACTGATACTTAGAAGAGAGAAGTTTACAGTTTCCTATGAGACCCAATGAGATATTAAACACTGTGTGTAATTACCTTTTACAGTATCTGCTTTGAAAGAATTCAATAGAGATATGAATATTTGGCAAAATATGCATTTTATTTTAGAATGCATTATGAGATTAACTCAAGCCACATGTACCCTCAGGCACACAAGGACAAACATTCTTTGCCTTCCATTCTGATATCTTCTTGGCTATAGGTCATCTTTTCATAACCTGAGATCTAGTTCACAGTGAAGGACATCCAGTGATATGTGGACAATCAGATTGGTAGCTCAGATCTCTGTTGGGTATCTTGCATTCTGAGAGCTACAACTTTTATTATACAGAGACTCTGGTCAGCCTTCTGTAGTATATAGTTAAATCGTGGGTGGTTTTTGCAGATAATATTTTATTTGGAGATTTACTGATGACAAAACTGTTTTTTGCTTTCAGAGTTATTAAAAATCACAGTATGGGCTGGGTGTGGTAGCTCATGCCTGCAATCTCAGCAGTTTGGGAGGGTGAGGTGGATGGATCATATGAGGCCAAGAGTTTGAGACCAGCCTGGGCAACATTGTGAAACCCAAACTCTACTAAAAACACAAGAAAAATAGCTGGGCATGGTGGCACACGCCTGTAATCCCAGCTGCTTGGGAAGCTGAAGCAGGAGAATCGCTTGATCCCGGGAGGCAGAGGTTGCAGTGAGCCAAGATCGCGCCACTGCACTCCGGCCTGGGTGACAGAGTGAGACTCAACTCTCAACAACAACAACAACAACAACAACAAAAGTTACAATGTAAATAAAACAATTAAGTACAGAATCACACTTATAAATAAAATAAAATAATTTTAATAATACAAATGTTTAAACAATGTTATTTAAAAATATTTCATTTTTAATATTTTATACTACTGTTAGCAGTAATAATCCTATAAGAAACACTGATTGTAAAGTAGTAGCTTGGACATTCCATGGTACATTAATTCCAAACCTTGGACATAGATTATGTGCTTTTAGTTTGTTCATAGTTTATTATGAATCAGTGACAAATACCTACCTTTATATTTAGTGTTTCCACTGATTTTTCAGGCTACCTTTCCTTTTTGCCTAATGAGTTGTTAACATAAGATATGGTACCTTTATCTTCATTTATTTCTCTCCTTATAGCATTCCTACAAGACCTACATTAACTAGTCAACACAGTGAGCTCTGAAGTCTTGGACTTGCTTTATGTAAACCAATCACTAATCACAGGGCCCTTCCACTGCCGTTTTCTTTCACCTGTGCCATAACTTCAGGCCCCGCCTCCATTTCATTTTAATTAATATTGTGGCATACCAATTCTACTAATGATCAACACATGCCTTTTTTCCTCCTATTTCATTTGATTTCTTATGCAACTCTCACCCATTTTATGTATCTTTGTTTTAATAGAGACAGTGACCTGCAATAATTAAGAATTAAGAGACCTGGATTCAAATTTTGTCTTGTCTTTTTATTGGGCAAGTCAATATTTTAAGCCTTAATTACTCAATTTTCTTATCTGTAAAAGACAACTCTGTAAAGTTATTGTAGATTTTGAAAATAAATCACTTAACACTTCCCGTGACACATGGTACTTGATAAAAGCTGGGTAGTCACAGGCAGATGGTCCCTTACCCATAGCCCTTAGTTTAGATGCATTTTTAGAATTCAGAATTCATGGACTTTAAAAGGTATGCATATTTCATATCGTACTTAATATATCCAACAGGATGTTAGTCAGCATCTCAAACAAGTTGATAATTCTGTAGGACAATGCTTATGTGTGAATTTTTACACAGAAATATTAGCCTCCCATTAATTCAAGTCAGGTATTGTTACCAAATGAGTTATGAAAAAACCATTATTCAAATTTTGGAATTGAGGATAAGTGACTAGGAATCCAGAAAACAAGAAGAAATTTTTCATTTTTCTTATTGGAAACTAAACTTTATTCTTTCATTTTGACTACCTGGATGTTTTCTAGGTTTCCTAAATATGGGACCATAAGCACTTTTTTTTACCTACACTTCCACAACTCATCCCTTTCCCCAGGTACCCTCACCACTCCAGATGTCTTCTGAGAATTAAGGGAGGGAATGAAATAGAGTTATTTCTGTAGGAGCATAATTGTTGGGCATGGAAAATTAATGTCACATTAAGAATTTTTTTCTCCCTGGAATTTGTTAGGGTAAGTATATATTATCTAGGGAGAAAATGACACAAAAAAGCATTAGTTTTTGTTTCTTCCTTTGTGATTAAAAACTGGCTTTTCTTATATATATTTTAACTTATAAGAAGTTTTAGCAAGACTTGTAGTTAAATGAAATACACTAGCAATTTTAACGTGTGTAATTTATTGTTTTATATAAGTATTTTTGGGTTTTAGAGAAATGTAGATTGTCTTATTGACCTGTTGACATTGATTTTTTTTCTTCCACTAATAAGGATCTATATAGATTTTAGTCTGTTCCTTCCTGTTATCTATTGATATGGGGGACTTGCTATCAGGGTAAAAGTTATAATTGAATTATACTTTCATATTATGTAATTATTAATCACAATTGATTCTAGTATTTTTTTTAGTGTCCAACTGAAACCAAAGCAACATTTGGGGTTCATCTTAAAATAGTAGAAGACTGGACAGGTATGTAGAACATACAGTTTTAAGATACATTCTTTGAAAATAGTGGAATGTAATAATTTGAATGTGTTTTAATATAACTACCAGTATGTATAGAGATGTGTATGTGTTTCAAGCTGTTCTGGTTTTTTTTTTTTTTGCTTGTACAGTTTTGACATCTATGTTTTCTCTTTTAAGTTGCATTTTTGCAATCAGAATACCTTTGATATCAGTAATTATTAATAATATATTGTTCAGTGTGCTTGCAAATCATAGGTTTCTACCTACTTGTCAGGTGTGCTGGCAATAGTGGGAATGCTGAAATGTGTTTCTTAGAAAACATGAGTCAAAATAATCAACACCTGATATTGAGATCACACAAATCTTCCAGTTCTTGCATGACATTTTTTGTGGTGTTCCAGTATATAGAGCAACTTCACAGTAACTTTGGAATAGATACTTTTAACAGCAGGCCTGTTGGTAAATACTTTTTATTACCTGAGAGATGCATTGTAGTAAGAGCTTTGAGTAAATAAAAGAAACATTATTCACTCTTATATTAATATTTCCTTGACCCGCCAGAATAACTGACAAGTGAGTACTCAGTAAATGTTGGCTTGTTAGTTGGTTGGTTATGTTGTTAGGAAAGAATGCAGATATAAACATGAATGCAAAAGTAAATTTAAATATTCTTATACTTAGGTGCTAAACAACGAGTTGGTAAGTAAAATCTGTAGGGAACCAGAAAAATGTAGATTAAATGTGGTCTAGGGCTGTAAGAGAAGCTCCACAGAAAAGACAGAATTTGAACTGAAGCTTAGAAGTCAGGCAAATGAAGAAAGATGGAGGTAATTTAAGTGAAAGTCACAGTGTTGCCAAAAATCTGGAAAGGCAATGATTAACTCTCTTTGGAAAGGATGAATCCAATCAGTCTTTAATCAATTAAATAAAAGCAAAGTCAATCCAACAAAATGAAACAAAAGACAAAGTCAATCAAACAAAAGCAAAGATTTTGTTCTGGGTAGTAGCATAGAAAAGCCATTTAGGGCCAGCTTGGTGAAGATTATGAATGCCTCAGCAAAATATTAGAGTAACCAAGGGAATTTAGGGAATTTTTGAAGCATTTGAAGAACTATGATGAAAATGGTATTAATTAAGTTGCTAGTTGGACAGATTAAAATCAAAGGAAGACTTGAAGGTACTTAAAGGCAGAGGGGAAGGAGGCAGAGGAGGGGTGAGGGTGGAAATTGGAAGTAATGGATTTGTGAACACAAGTTAAGAAGGTAGCATTAGAAGGAAGAATCTAATTTCTGTAAAAACCAGGGAAGGATAAGATGTTGGATAATAAGAAAGATGTGTTTTGAAATGAGGAGAACAATAGTTTATATAAGGAGGTTATTTCATAGAGTTAAAAAAAATAATAATGGTATGTATAAAATGTAATGTCTTTAGAAAGGGTAGCCAGCTTGGAATTGGAGACTTAAATAAAAGGAAGGAAATCTGCAACATAGGATTTAATGGGCAAACATCTAAGTGAATTAAAAAGATCTTTGAGCAGTAATAACTCATTCAGAGTCATGAAAAACCAGGCTTACATGGATAATTTTCAGATGGTAGCATTGAAAAGAGATCATGGTCGTCTTCTGATAGATATACACTGGTGGAGTATGAACATATGAATAATCACAATATGCCCAATATAAGTTGATACTGTCACAGTGTTGTTTTTTTTTTTTCTACTGTTTTGGAAATAAAGAATAAGGAAAGTTCTTTTCTGGTGAGAATCCCAATATAGTAGGAATTAAATTCAGTCATGAATGGTAAATTGATAGAATTCTATATCTGAAAGAAAACATACAATGAAAACATAATTTAATTCATAAGATTAAGCAGAAACTCCTGATGGTTTATTATTAGCTATTGTTACCGAGTTTTTTCACAAAGTTATTTTCTATTACCAGTAGCTCATTAAAATAAATGATGTCTTACTATTTTAATCATCTCTATTAGGAACACTTAATAGTGTTAATTTTATTCTCCCTTTTTAATGTACTATGCCACTGAGAGAAACAAGATCATTCTATTCAGAGAGTTCAGTTCCAGTCAGATGCGTTCCAATTAATAGACCTTCTTTGTTGTTGACTTGAAATATTTGTTGACTTGGAAAAAAATATAAGCAGTCATGCGGAGAACACCTAAATAGTCATGTCATTATCTGACACTTTAGTTCAAAGAGATTTAGCTGCCTTACAACAATGAGATTACAACTATTGAAGGAAAAGTAGGAGCATTACCTTCGAAATCAAGAATCATTGGTTTTTATTCTAAAAGAATTGATTAAAACTCGGTATTAAGAGCAGTAGGTATAGGAAATACCAAAGAGATACCTAAGAGGTTGAATATCAAAGGTTTATTTTTTTAAACTGACTTAGAGATATTTAATATGACTTTTTACTTGCTGAAATATGTTCTGCATTGGCAGCATACAGGGACTAAAGAGCAGGTTTAAAATAGCTCCATAAATGATCTCTCCAAGACTAATCAACTATACCTAGCTATAGAGTGCTGGAGGAGCAAGGGAAGAAGCTATGCAACACAAGACAAAGAAGTACCAAGTCTCATATTTGTTGTCTAGATTTTCATTTTCACCTGACCTCTAATTGCATCTCCTAAATACGTGGAAGACCTGTTAAAGTTTAGAAGACCCTTAAAACATTTTAGACATGATTCAGCGTTTTTTCTTGAAATGATGGTAGTACAGTAGATGGAGTGGATTACCCAAGTAGATTTCTCTTTTAATCGAATGAATACCTTATTGCTCTTCTAGAAGCAGTCATTCTTTCCAGTTTCAAATGTATGGTCAGAGATTATTGACTTGATTATCATTTTAAGTGTACAAAAATGTTTTGTTAATTTCTTCGTTACATATGATTAGTATTGATTAATGTCTGAGATAATGCTATACCCTTGCTTATTTTGGTGGTCTAAATAGCCACTTATTCCACAGGTGTTTGTGTTGTGCTACAACAGAATTAAATACATAACATCCACATGTAATTAATGTAAACTTTCTGCCATTGATCCCTTCAGCAGTTAATGAATTAGCAATAATTGTGAGTAAATATTCAATAAAGGACTTGTAGCATGTATCACATGATGTTTCTATGAATCTTGGGTATAAATTCCCCTGTTGTCTACTGGAAAAGTTTTCTACAGTGAGAAGATATGGTTATCTTTTAGGATTAAAAATGAGAAGACAGGGCCATATATTATTGTGGATTTGCCTCAGTCACATAATATATTGACTTCTCACAGTGCAAGTAATCTTAAATATAGGGTTAGTTAAGGACTGGGCCACAAAAGAGTCGATAACTCTCTTATTTGTTTCTATATCACTGTAGGAGCCAGTCGTGTTATAGGCTTTATTCAGATTTTTCATGAAAAGATTTAAACAGAACATGTGTTACTTGTTTAAAGTATTTTTCTTTTCATTTTTGGAAACTCCTTTAAAGTCAGATTATAACCACACTAATTTATATTAATGTTATTACTTTATTATGACAACATATTTTAGGCCAATTACATCAACCACCTTGCACTAGATATCACTGTGAATGGCTTTTGGTTGCTGCAAGAAGCCAATAAATAAATAAATAAATAAATAAATAAATAAATCATATTTGGATATATGGAATCTCACAGATTTTACATAATTCATATTCATACAATGTAAACTTTAAGCTTACAACAAATATTCATTATCAACTGCTGTATACCCAAAGGAGTGCCTGGAAGTACTCTTTTTGTTGTTACTCTTGCCATGACTAGTGAATTACAATGATTAGTCATTTGTGGAAGATAATATTGAAACTATTAACTTTGGCTAATAATCAAATGTATGTTAAACAGCTACTGTGTTCCAGACTGTTTATTAGTCACTGGAGATACAGCATTGAACAAAAGTGACAAAGTCTCCGCTGTTATAGAGATTGTGTTTTGGTCCATGGGGAGTTTATCATTTTTTTGGAGATGTTTTGGTGTGACTCTATCTCCTGCCATTTAGCCATGGTTTATAGATTGTAGTAGCCTCACCTATACCCTATGTCCTACCAGCCCATGTGGATGGTAGTAATTTTCTTCCACTCTTTGTATTTTTTCACCATCCTCAATTTGGCTTCTCACTTCTTCCCTCACCTGAGTCATTAGTTCCCTCTAATGAATTTCTTCCACTTAACTTATGCAGTCGTGTTTCTGCCTGGATCTGCACTGTTACACAAGGTTAGAAAAGCTCTCTGAACAGAGCCCCGAATAAAGAGGAGAAATATATAGGGGAATTGCATTTGCAGCGTACAAGAACTAAAGAACAGGTTTAAAATAGCTCCATAAATGAGATATTTTAAAAATATATATCTTAAAAAAGTTTAAGAGATAATAAGAGTAAGAGAGTATTTTATATCTATAAAAATATATCTTTAAAAAGTTTAAGAGACACTAAAGTAAGAGAGGATGTGGAGTTGGTAAGTATAGACAAATCTGGCAGTATGTTTGGGTTACCTCCTAGGGCTTGAGAGAATGTGCTTCTCTTCCCACCTCCATAGTCAGTGAGGTCATGTCTGATAGCTTCCCATCACTCACAGTGGTAGTAGTTATTCCACAGAAATTGACCAACATCATTCCCATGGTGTGAATGTGTCCCCTGTAATTCATATGTTGAAATTTAATCACCAATATGATAATACTAAGAGGTAAGACTTTTAGGAGATGATTAAATCATGAGAATAAAGCCCTCATGGATTAGATTAGTGCCTTGTGAAAGGGCTTGAGGGAGTTGATTGACTCTCTTCTGCTCTTCCACCATGTGTGTTCCTCCCCCTTTGCTCTTTTGCTCTTCTGTTATGTAAGGACACAGCAGTAAGGCACCATCTTAGAAGCAGGGAGCAGACTTTACCAGGCATCAAAGCTGCTGGTGCCTTGATCTTGTACTTCCCAGCCTTTAGAACTGTGATAAATAAATTTCTGTTGTTTATAAATTAACTAATTTGTGGTATTTTGTTATAGCAGCTCTCTAACAAAGACAACCATAAAGTAGGTCTTATGTATTTATCTATCATTAGACCTGGCTATTAAACATTTGTCAGAATACCACTGGACAAATTCTAAGAAGTTTGTATGTAAAGTGAAATAAAGAAATAAGTCAGCAGGTGAAAGGAGGAAATAAGGACGAAGAAGATATAAGTTAAAGATATATGATTATTTTATAATAATTATAACAATATACTAATTATGCTAAAATATATTTATACACTTATTTGAATGATGAGAATGAAGTGGAGAGAGGAAGTTTTATATTGCTGGAGAGATTTAGGATATAGTTCCAGGAGCAAATGGAAGACATACAAGTTGCTGGGAAGAAAACTTGGGAGGCTTTCTGGGTCAAACTGAGTGTTAGAGATATATAGAACTTGCCTAGAGTGGGGGATTATTCCAGGGAGAAAAAATAGCTTGAATGGCTCAGAAGGGTGAACTAGCTTGGAATGTCAGGAAAATGTCATGCTATTGGGAGGCCTGGCTGGGGTGGCATCCAAATATTAGGCCAAGGAAGAGCTTGTAGATCTTGCTATGAAACTTGGTCTTTTCCCAAAAGATGCTGGTGAAATACTGAGGAGTTTTAAACAGGAACTGAAAGCAAATTTGCCCTTTATATGGGTCACCCTGCCAATGTTATATCAAATAGAAAGGAAGAAGACTAGGCTGGAGGCAAATACATCACATTAAATATTTTTTAGTGTCAAGCAAATGGAAGACTTTATCTTTTGAGTTTTGAGAAAGGAGTGATCTATGGTTGCTGCAAAAAGCCAATAAATAAATAAATAAATAAATAGGACTGAGCAATATCACTGTTAGCCTCATAAAAATCATGTCATTAGGAAGATGCAAAGGAAAGGTCTGGCGATGGTACATATTGCTGTGAATTACTGAGGGCATTGGCGACCACTAAGTGGAGAGAGTTAGTGTACAAAAAGAGGCACATAGCAAATGGGCCTATTTCTAAATTCTTCCTGTTTCTACATTTCCCCAGAACTATGAGAATGATTGATTTTATACTGATCTGGCTTGTGATTAGCAGCAGAAGATGAATGGCAAATACAGATGTATACCTGTGTATATACACCTGTGTATATATACATACCTGTGTATATATCTAGATGGATCTGTCTCAGGATGAGGATTAACCTATTGTATCTTAAAGTATATATGCTTTGTATAATGAAACACTGTAGTTCTAGCCTCATGTGAGTCAATGTGGAAATCATTTAAGATAATGATGAAACTTAATATGGCTTATTTGCTATCACAATATAATAAATCATTCAATGAATGTGAACTGGGCATAAATTCTACAGCCTCAGAAATCAAGGAAATTTTTTTATCAGGAAAATGAGAGGCACATTATAAGTGTACTACAATTTAAGTGTCCATCCGTTCTCAGGAAAGAGGATAAATATTTTTTCCCTTGGTTTCTCATTTTATGAACATTAATTATATGCTGTCACACTTTTTAGTAGGTGACAGCTCACTTAAAATACTACAGAAATATAAAAATTGCTTAGTAAATAAAGAATTCACCAGTCATTAAGTTTTGTTCATTCCAGCCATTTTACAAACCCAAATATAGGAGTAAATACCAAATTTTTGTTTTCTATCCAATTTTCACAATGTTCCTTCTTTTTGTTTTTTTCTTTTCAGTTTTTGGAGACAGGTCTTGCTGTGTCTCCCAGGCTAGAGTGCAGTGATATGGTCATGGCTCACTGCAGCCTTGACCTTCCACGATCTAGGGAAGGATCTATGGATCCTCACATGTCAGCCTCCTGAGTAACTGGGACCAAAGGCTCAGACCACCATGCCTGGCTAATTTTTATATTTTTTGTAGAGGCAGGGTTTTGCCATGTTGCTTCAGGCTAATCAAACTCCTGGGCTCAAGTGATCAGCCCACCTCGGCCTCCCAAAGTGCTGTGACTACAGGAGTGATCTACTGTGCCTGGCCAAAATGTAACTTTTTAGTTTTGAAAATAAACAAATCATACAATTACTGGACCTGGAAGTAGAGTTATTATGGTGAAGCAGTTTCTTTTTATGGATTGTTATATTTTTATTAGAATTGTTCTGTTCCTAAAAGTTGCTTAGAGTCTCTGTTATCCAGTATTTTCCACTTGATTTTACTATGTAACATGGAAGAAAATAAGAATTATGAGGGATTTTCTTGGTAACATAATTTATTAATCAATGTCAAAAACACCACATAATGTACTGACTGAATGGCTAAGAAGGCATATGTCAGTTTGCCAAATGAGCCTAGTGTTAATGGACTAAGTAATTTCAAAGGAAGCAAAAGGACAAGGGTTTTGTGCCATTATCATTATTATCAGGAACATTTTTAAGTACTCATTTTCTTGATACACTTGTTAATCATTTTATGTATTTGCTTGTTGTTTTTCCCTGATGCATAGTGTTGGTCTTCGGCCAAGACATCTTCTATTTAAGAACAGAGAAGACTCACTACATGGCTATTTTCTATTGGCTTTAAAGGCCCATATATTGCATGGCATTGATTTTATTTGCTCGGGTCTTTAGATTTGAACTTCATAAAACATAAAAGAAAATCTCCTGTTTTTTTTTTTTGCGGGGGGGTGGTCTTGTTCTTGGATAAAATGGCCTGTTTTTTCTTGAATATACATCTAAGATATATTCAGTTTGTGCAGAAACCAGGAACTGAATTAGTATGGAGCTGAGTCTTGATCAGTCTGAGGTGTTTCTTTTGACGAAAGCCAACATTGTTTAAAACAATGCATTTGATGTGACAAATGAAAATATAACATTTTTCTTAAAAGGTGGATTGTAGAAAGCTTAGTAACAATAATGTGTTTACCCAACAATGTCTGTTATTTGCCTTCACTTTCTTTGAAACTGTTTTTTTTTCCCACCCTCTTTCATTTTTTGTTATAGTTTAGCCTCTGTGGCAATAAAAGAGAATTTATATTTTATAAGAAATCCAGTCCTAGGTATTGATTCATTGATGTATTTAGGGGCCAAGAAGTCTGTCTGTAGTTCTTTCAAAAACTGCTTTTGATTTTTTTAAAATAGTGTGTTAAACAAGTAAGAAGCAAAATAATGAGTATCACAGAAATAGACTTTTATCACTCTGCTCCCCCTGGAAATAAAAGGATCCATTAAATAATCTTCCTTTGTGTAATACTGCATTGTCTACCTTCAGACCTTACAGTATTTAAAAGTACCAGGTGTTGAGGCGTGCAGATGGCATATGACCCTGCTAAGCTTTCTCTTATCCTGTAATCCTTAGGCCAGAAGAAAGTAAAAGGTGGGAGGGGAGAAAAGGGAGTACTGTATATTCTCAGGAAAGAATAAGGCAGTATGATGGCAGTGGAAAGAACCCTGGACTGTGAGTGTTTTTGTTTTGTTTTTGTCTTTTCTTTAAGTATCTTTGCTTCTTTCTAGCCATGTGACCTTGAGACAATCAGCCAGCTGGTTGGTTTTTAGTTTCCTTGTCTACAACATACCAAATTGAGGAGTTGTTTCCTAATTTCTCAGTTCATTATTGCTGTAAAGTGGTATAATTATTTTGAAAGAAATAAATTCTAAGATACAGATAATTCAATTCCGCATAATGTGTGAATGATAGTAGATAAATTTTGGTATAGTTCAGAAAATATTACAGGAATACTATGGAGAATACATGTCAAGTAGAGGATTTTTATGTTGCTTATTTTGTTTTCCTATTAGTGTTCTTATTCATTCATTAGCTCTGGTTGTACACACATCTCATCTTCTGAAAATTACATGTATGGGTTTAGGGATTTTTTTTCCCTTATGTAAGACAGTATAAAATTCTGTTTTTTATATTACTTTGACATGGCCTTAATATTTGCAAAAAAGATAGTTTTATATAACCAGAGCATGCAACTGATAGGGTTTTTTCTTCTGGAATTGTAAATCATTTTATTTTCTTCTAGAATTATAAATCATTTTCATTTGAATCCTAGAATCTTATGAGACAAGATTTGTCTACATATGTAATATATATAGGCAAATATATATGTGTGTGTATATATGTATGTGTGTATGTAAACATATATATATATATATATATACACACACATAGAGAGAGAAAGAGAGAGAGAGACAGGGTCTCACTCTGTCACCTAGGCTGGTGTGCATTAGCATAATCATAGCTCACTGCAGCCTCAAAATCCTGGGCTTGAGCAATCCTCTTGCCTCAGCTTCCCAAGTAGCGAGGACTACAGGTGTATACCACCACATCTGGCTAATTTTTTAAACTTTGTTGAAGAGCCAGGGTCTTGCTGTGTTGCTTAGGCTGGTCTCAAATCCCTGGCCTCAAGCTTTCAAATATTGGGAATGTAGCCATGAGCCACCACACCTGGCCTGCCTATATCTTTAATAAGTTGCAACTTGATTTCCTGGTTTATGTAAAGTAGTACTAATTTGAGAGCCTCTCATGTTTATCTGAAACCAATAGTTTAAATAGCAACTGTTGTTACTATTATAAATATTGTTACTATTCAGCTACCATGTATTACTCTGTATTACCATGCATTATTATTGAGTTACCATGGTAATAAAGGACATTCGCTTGATTTAAACAAACTTTTTAGTAGGGAGATGTATGCTCCATATCTTTCTAGTTGGTATGGATGTACTCTAAGTTTGCCCTTTAATTCTTCTTTTTAGAAGGAATTTGTTTTTCTAAGATTAATATGCATATTTCTAAGGAAAATAAACACCAAATTTTGACAAACCATTAATTTCTTTAAATCCCTAGAAATAATGTGCTTCTTTCCCTTTTTAAATAATTTTGTAATTACATTCTAAATTCTTTTCAAGTAGCTATAATGGCATTGAAGTTCTTTTGTTGTCCTGGCATTTTTTGTGTGTGCTTAATATACAGAGCTGCCTTGGTGATAATAATTTGTTTTATTTAGTGCACACATCACCCGAGCAATGTACACTGTACCCAATATGTAGTTTTTTATCCCTCACCCGACTTCCAACATTCCTGCTCCGGAGTTCTTAAGGTTCATTATATCTTTCTTATGTCTTTGAGTCCTCAAATGTTAGCTTAGCTCTCACTTGTGAGTGAGAACACAGGATATTTAGTTTTCCATTCCTGAGTTACTTCACTTACAATAATGGCCTCCAGCTCCATCCAAGTTGCTGCAAAAGACATTATTTTGTTCCTTTTTATGGCTGAGTAGTATTCCATGTTGTATGTATACATTTTCTTTACCTACTTGTTAGTTGATGGGCACTTAGGTTGGTTCCATATCTTTATTGTTGTGAATTGTGCTGCTGTAAACATGCATGTGCATGTGTCTTTTTCATGTAATGACTTCTTTTCCTTTGGGTAGATACCTAGTAGTGAGATTGCTGGACTGAATGGTTGTTTTACTTTAAGTTCTTTAAGGAATCTCCATGTATTGTCCATAGTCATTACACTAATTTACATTCCCATCAGCAGTGTAAAAGTGTTCCCTTTTTACCACATCCATACCAACATCTATTGTTTTTAGATTTTTTAATTATAGCCATTCTTGCAGTAGTAAGGTAGCATCTCATTGTGATTTTAATTTGCATTTCCCTGATTATTAGTGATGTTGACCATTTTTTCATGTTTGTTAGCTGTTGTATGTCTTCTTTTTAGAAATGTCTACTCATGTCCTTTGTCCACTTTTTGATGGGATTATTTGTTTGTTTTTTTTTTTTTGCTGATTTGTTTTAATTCTTTGTAGATTCTGGAAACTAGTCCTTTGTCAGATGCAAAGTTTGAGAATATAAGCAAATATTTTTAAGCAACTCAAAGTTAAAAGGTGGCTTAAAGATCACTGAACTCATCTGACTCAGTTGTGAGTTCAGAAAAGGAATTAAGAATAGAGGCAGACTAAGGTCAAGAACTCAGGCTCTCTGACAACCAGTTGAGTGTTGTTTCTTTTAATTTTTTCTTTTTCCAAGAGAATTTATTTTCTGCTTTATTTAGGTATAATTGACAAGTAAAATTATGTATTTTCAGGGAATACATATCTCTGGTATACATATGCATTGTGAAGTGATTACCACACTCAAGCTAATTAATGTATTTATCACCTCAAATAGTTACCTTTGTTGTGTGTGGTAAGAATACTTAAGATCTACTTGGCAGCAGTGTCTTTTCTCTTATGACCTGTTGCTGCTAAATACTGCAGACTGTATGAGTGAAGAAATATTTGTCCTTTGATATCTCCTTTCTCATGTATACTCTCTCATAATTTTTCCTGCATTAAGAAGTAATCCTCAGCCTATATTGCCAAAAAATGTGAAATAATATCAATATTATGGTGCATTCATCTTATTGACCCTTTTTGGGGTATGAAGTACTGTCTGATTCCTTGCAATATAACTTCTAATACTATTAATAGGTTACAATATACTAGGTGTTCTTAAAACTAAGGTAAAGACTTTAATAGAGTCTTAATCTTTAATGTCCTTTAAGGATTTTGTTTTGATGCCATTTAAAAAAAATTAAAACTGGCAAATTTGTATAATGTGAGCATTAACAGAAAGATAAAAAAATTAACCTATTAATAAAAATGCAAAGAACTTCTGTTCAAGTACCTTTGGTTTAGGGAAATACTGTCTCCCTTAGAAATATTTTATATGACTTTTTTTATTACCCTGAAAAATCTAATACTCAAAACAGTTAAAATATTCATTTTTATAGAGGAGGTTATAGAGAGGAAGTTAGGAAAGGGGGATTACCTGAAGGAAAACAATGATTTGGAATTGGCAAAATCTGTCTGGGTCTCTCTAGCAAGCAATAGGTCTTTCTTCAGTTGCTGTTAAAAAAACAAATTATGTGACAGTGATCACATCTCTAGATGCAAAGGATATTTAGGTTATACAAGAATAGCATTAATCATTGTTACTTTTGTTTTTTATATATTTTTTTCTTTCTTTTTTTTGTAGTGGTAAGACCTATTCCTATTCCTTCTCAATCCAGGAATAGGTTTGCATACTGCTAAGTTGCAGTGAGCTGAGATCATGCCACTGCACTCCATCCAGGGTGACAGAGCAAGACTCCATCTCAAAAAAAAAAAAAAAAATGCCTACTGCTTTTTATTGTTATGTAAATCCTTATTGCATTTGGTATATTCTGCATATTGGGGTGGATTAGAGATTGGTCATTTTCTGCAAAGGAGAAAATGAAACATCTTTGTCACAAAAAGATGTAGAAAAAGTTTCAATTAGAAATGGAAAGAGTATTTTAATTTTCTCATCTTTGTTTTCAAATAATTAAGTATATTGTGTCACAGTTGATTAACCAGAGAATGCAAATTAATGTAATTGTGTGCAGTATGTCATCCAGGTCTAAGAGCCTCATAATCTTTTTGTTGATTGAATGAGAGAAAGAAAGAGTGGGTGAAAGTCTACAAAAGCTTGTGTTAATTAAGATATATCTCCTACTGGTAGAAAATCATGTTCAGACATTATCACATCGTTAGTCAGCTCATCACAGTATCACTTTGCAGAAAATCCTGTTTCTTTGTTTTTTTTTTCCAGTGGCTTTAATGAATTTCTTCTAAGAGGTCCTGTGAAAGGACTGAGCTGTAGTATTTGGATAACTGTGCCATTTTCTTAAAAAACAGTTTGAGCCTGCTGAGAAAGTAGATCATCTGGTTTGACATTTTGCTGCAAAAGAAGTAGCATTAATATATCTTTTTTTTTTTTTTGCTTAACAAATAAAACATCAAATTATTTTGGCCTTTTCCTCATAATCAAATAGACAATAAGATGCTAATTAAATAACTGATAGGCAAAAATATGTGAGACTAAAGAACTAAATAATTTTTCCATTTACTTGAACTTTTCTAAGGATAATTGTTATCATTTATCTATTTTTATAAAGAAATAAATTAATCATCAGTATGCCTTTATAAGATAAAATTAATTGTTCACATTTAAGAATTTATTAATATAATGATAAAAATAAAATGTTTTTAAAAGACATGCTTTTGAAGTTCTGTGTTTATTTTCTGTTTATGTATATATGAACCTTTCTTTTCTTTTCTTTTTTTTTTTTTTTTTTTTTTTTTTGAGATTAAGTTATGCTCTTCTTGCCCAGGATGGAGTGTAATGGCAGGATCTCGGCTCACTGCAACCTCCGCCTCCTGGGTTCAAGTGATTCTCCTGCCTCAGCCTCCTGAGTAGCTGGGATTACAGGCACCCACCACTACGCCCGACTAATTTTTTGTATTTTTAGTAGAGACAGGGTTTCACCATGTTGGTCAGGCTAGTCTCAAACTCCTGACCTCAGGTGATCCACACGCCTCAGCCTCCCAAAGTGCTGGGATTATGGGTGTGAGCCACCATGCCCTGCCTATGAACTCTTTTTGACAACCATGATAGCTATTCAAGATATGTTTGCTTGGTATTCTTTGTATTTATGATAATCTGATTAAAGGATGTTCCAAATATAGGAACATTAGGTATAGATTTCCTTACAGCTTTATAAGTGATGTCTTTTATGCTGCTTTTGCTCTGTGTGTGTGTGTATGCACACACACGTGTGCATCTGTGTATGTGTTTTTAGTCCTGTCAATATATCATCTGCAGAGATTCTTTTCTCCAGAATTATTGTCATATGTCCTTTATGGTTGTATAAAAAGAGAAAAACTTATTGCTGTGAAAAGGATGTATTATATTATAGTTGTGTGCACTAAGAATTCTGATTTTTGTTTGCTTTTAACAAGTTTGGGAGAAATTCACTAAACTTTAATTTATACTATTACCTTTCAAGGAATATCATAACACATATAGCTGTTTGATTTAACAGTTCTTTACTTGATATGTACAGTTCTTGTTTGCTGTTGGGTTTTGGCTTGATTTTTCATTTTAGGAAAAGGCTAAGTGGGAAAAAAATTGAAAAGATAGAGCATTACACATTACTCATTTAATGAGTACCCCATAAATTGGCAGGTAGACTGAAAACCAAGGGTTATTTATCATCAGAAAGTTTACTAGTCACTTGATTGAAAGAAATGTTAATTTTATAAATTAAAAAGAGTAATAGCACAAATATCAGCCAATAATATAATATTTAAAAATGTGAACTAATATTAAAGAGTATAATTAGAGAAAAACACAGAGTGTTTTTTTGGATTTCTAGACTAAAGAGTGTAAGCACATCTGTGTTTGGATCTCATTAGTTCCTCCTCACCTATATTGTACGAAATGTCAGAATTTTAAGAGAAAAAAACAGTAGAAGCCAGTTACGTATCTCTGATTCAGTACGTTTTAGTAAATATGAAGATAAAATATACATTCTGCTTCTCAGGAAGCACTGGCCACTTTGTGACTGCCGTATTCCAAATAATTAACATCTAGCTATTCATAAACTAGGAAATGGCAATTGTCATCAAGTGTATATTTTCATCATTTTGTGGAAATGCTCACCTTCAGTTAGTGAAGGATTTACTGCAGCTGCGGAGTGTTAGCTTTGCATACTATCTAATCCTGACTGTGCGACTGTGTCAAGACGGGAGTATGGGTCCACTTGCTATTCATGGTTGATATATGACCGTTTGGTCTCTGCTGGGAGTTATTATGATTAACCTTAACAAACAGTTTTCTCCAGTAAAAATAGATGTTGGAAAGATTTCTTCAACAAATATTTATCCAGCACCTTAATTATGTATCAGATAATGTTCTGTATCTTGGTGGCATAATACTCATACTAGAAGAAGAAAGAGGGATAGAGAGATAAATACATATAACAATAAAACATAGTGTGATAAACTCTGAGAAAGTGGAGGCACAAGTTGTGCTGGGAATATACAGTAGGTCCAGCCTATTCCAAATTGGGCAGGAGGAGAGAACAAAAAAGTAATGGAGGGATCAAGGAAGCCTTTCCATAGGTATGACTCTAGAGGTAATGCATACCTATTCCTGAAAATGTGCATACTCTATGCCATGCAGATAGCTATGCAATGTAAGTATTTCCAAGGTAACATCTAGGATTTTTTCCTTTGTCCTTCTTTTTTTTCCCTTTTCTTTCTCCCTTCCTCTTCCCCTCCCCCTCCTATTTTCTCTCTTTTCTTCATTATGAATTCATATGCACTGAAGTTTACTAAATCAGTTCTTAGCTCATGATATGCAGTCATTATTGGTCTTTTCCTGGCTGTCATTCACTTATTCATTTATTCATTTGTGATATTACAATTAATACATATGAAACACCAACAATTAGTTACATTTACCCTTTTGCTTCTCTCCTATTTCATCCCCCTACCTTTCCTAAAAATAATCATTATTCTGAATTGTGCATGTCCTTCCTTTTTAATTGGTTTGCTTTATTTCATATATATCATACTTAAATAATACATTGCTTAGTTTTTTTAACTCAATAAAAATTATGTTCTGTTATATGTAATCTGCTGAGATTTTATTTCACTCAACATTATATTAATATGATTCATTAGGTTTTTATTTGTAACTAAAATCATTCAGTTTCACTTCAGTTAGTACTTCATTTTGTGAATAAGCACAAATGTCCATTCTCTCATGTCAATGAGCAACTGAGCTGCTTCCATTTATGTTGTTCTGTGAGTGGTGCTACTGTGAACATTCTCATACTTGCTGTCTAAGACACATGTTAAAGTTTCTGAGGGTGTATCCCTGAGAATGGAAATATTGGGCCACAGACTTTGCAAAAGTAAAACATAAATGATAAAGCCAAATTGTCTTCAAAAGCTATTGTACCAATTTGGACTCCCACCAGCAGTGTATAAGAGCTTAGGTTGATCAACATCCTCTCCAACACTTGGTCTTGGGAGACTAATTTCTGTCGATTGAATGCTACATGATGTAAATGCTAGTTAATGGTGTCTGGTTTTGATTCACATTGCACGGGTTACTAATGAGACTGTGCATCTCTTAGTATGTTTATTGGTCATGTATATTTTCTCTAACCTTTCAATGATAAGATTTGATCATAAAGATATATGTTACCATTAAGGAAAAAAAAATATTTTTGTATTTATATATGAGAAATATGTATATGTAGAAATGTATATATATGTATATTTATAGGATAAATATAACTATTTCAAATATTAATCCAGGCTTAATTTTATGTATTTAAAATAAATATATACACGAATATATATTATTTATATATTTATACCTATTCTTAATGGCTACATATATATTTATGATTAAATTATTATAATCCATCTATATACATATACACACACACACATACATACACTACATATATATTACTAATACATAAAATGGTGGGTAAATTTCTAATAAAGGATGGATATACAGTCAAAATGGCTAACAAAATAAATCAATAGGAAATACTTCCATTTTGAAATTATTTTCATGACTTTTATCTTTTCACAGCTTGATGTTTACTTTTCTTTTGACAGAACGATTTCGAGATTTACTACTGCCTCCATCTAGTCAAGACTCCGAAATTCTGCCCTTCATTCAATCTAGAAATTATCCCAAGTAAGCAAAAGGAGTTCACTGGGTTTTGATGAGGCAGTGGGCATAGTGCAGGGAGAGATTTGGGCGGGCAAAAACAAAATGTAATCTTTCTTAAGATTTCTGAAAATCCTGAATAACTTACCCTAACTAACTAAGACATCTTCTGCAATATAATGTCTCAGGCTCCTTGCAGCTGGGTCATAGAAGAAATACTTACTTGTAATTGCAACCCAGCTTTGACTGAGGAGCTGCTGCACAGTGCAGACAACATGCTGTGTGCATCTGTGTCTGGTTCTTTTTGCTTGATGCCGTATCAACAGGGACAGTATTTTGTCGGTGATACCTCATCTGGTTTTCTATTTACTGTCCTTTAAATGCAAAGATTCATTTATATTGTAGCAAGTCATTTTCAAAATAGCCATGGGCTTGATAAGATTTTTGACAATCTCTATACATTCTTATTTATCATATTGAAAACTGGGGATGTGAAATCTTCTGACGCTTTGTTATATGAAGCAGACCTTTCCTTCTCATAGATGCCCCAAGCGTATGTCCTTGTTGAAGGAATATGCCTTCATCTTCCTGAAGGTTAAGGAAATACCAGGACTCTTATAACACATCTTCTTCCCTAAAGACTGATGCATGCTGAATCTTGATCATTCCTGTGGCATCCTGGGGCCTCCTCTATGAGTGTTTAACTCTCTTTAATAGTTAGTGTGGAACAGGCTAAAGAATAAATAAACTAATATCTGAAATAGAAAAGAAAGGCCATCAACTTAAAGGAATAGAATTTGGTTTATACATATTTCATCTAATCACTATGCCAAATTCTTTGATCGCTTTGAGAGTTTTTTCAAGTATTCATAAACTTTGCTTTCTGGGGAAATTATTTTCCCTCTAATACTTACCTTTGATAATACTCACTTAATTATGATCACAAAAATAAATGCAGAATCCTAATTATATTGCTTGTGCATTGTTTCAAATTTTAATCCAGGCTTCATTTTTAGCAATAAACTTGCAATCCCCTGATAACACACACAGAGACATACATGTGCCTATACAGCCTTGAATGCATACTTTGCTCTATATGTACATGTTGACCAGGAGCATGAATGTGCCCAAAAGGATTGGTGCACACCTATTTGTATTTTTACTTACAGTGGCTGTTGGCAGAGGCTGATGATGCCTGCTTTTCTGCCTCTTAGGCTTACAGTTTGCCTAATGCCTTTGCTTGAAGAGGGTAGTCATAGTAGTTTCTCAGGTGGTTATCTATTTGCAGCTACAGGAATACCTCAGAGATATTGAGGGTTTGATTCTAGGCCACTGCAATAAAGTCAATACTGCAATAAAGCTGTCACACTTTTTTTTTTTAGTTTCTCAGTGCATATAAAAGTAATTTTAACAGTATTCTGTAGTCTTTTAAGTGTGCAGTAGCCTCGATATGTCTAGAAATACTATTTACATCCCTTAATTAAAATATACTTTATTGTTAAAAATGCTAAAAATCATCTAAGCCTTCAGCAAGTCATAAACTTTTTGCTGGTAGAGGATCTTTCCTCTATGTTGATGGTTGCTGACTGATTAGGAAGGTGGTTGTTAAAGTTAGGGGCACCTGCAGCAGTTTCTTAGTATAAAACCATGAAGTTTGCTGCATCAGTTGGCTCTTCCTTTTACAAAAGATTTCTCTGTAGCATGTGATGCTGTTTGATAGCATTTTACCCACAGCCTAACTTCTCTAAAAATTGTAGTAAATCCTCTCAAACCCTGATGTTGCTTTATCAAGTAAATTGTCATTTCAGCATTTTCATAGCTTCTTTACCAGGAGTAGATTTTATCTCAAAAAAACTATTTTCTTCCTGTAATCCCAGCACTTTGGGAAGCCGAGGCAGGTGGATCACCTGAGGACAGGAGTTTTAGACCAGCTTTGCCAACAAGGTGAAACCCCATCTCTACTAAAAATATAAAAATTAGCCGGCTGTGGTGGCACACGCCTGTATTTCCAGCTACTTGGGAGGCTGAGGTGGGAGAATTGCTTGAGCCGAGGAGGTGGAGGTTGCAGTGAGCTGAGATTGTGCCACTGCGCTCCAGCCTGGGCAACAGAGTGAAACTCTATCTCCAAAAACAAACAAACAAACAAAAAACAAAACAAACAACAAAACCAAAACTACTTTATTTGCTCATCCATAGTAAGCAACTTTTCATTTATTAACATTATATCATGAGATTGCAGCAATTCGGTCATATATTCAGGCTCCACTTATAATTCTAGTTCTCTATTTATACTATGTTTGTTGTTACTTCCTCCACTGAAGTCATGGACCCCTCAAAGTTATCCACGAGGGCTCAAATCACTTCTTCCAAACTCCTATTAATGTTGATATTATGACTTCCTCCCATGAATCATGAATGTTCTTAATACCATCTAGAAGGTGAATAATTTTCAGGATGTTTTTAAATTTACATTGCCCAGATCTACCAGAGGCATCACTGTCTATGGTAGCTATAGCCTTATGAAAAGTATTTCTTAAATAATAACAATTGAAAGTCAGAATTTCTCTTTGATCCATGGATTGCAAAACGGATGTAATGTTAGCAGGCCTGCAAACAACATTCATCTCCTTGTACATCTACATCATAGCTCTTGGTTGACTAGGTGCATTGTCAATGAGCAGTAATTTTAAAAATTTATTTGTATAAATGTATGTGGTACATATGTAATTTTGATACATGGATAGATTGTGTAGTAGCCAAGTCAGGGCTTTTAGGGTATCCATCACCAGAATAACATACATTGTATGCAATAAGTAATTTCTCATTATTCACCCACTTCCTAGCCCCCCTGCAACATTTCAAGTCTCCACTGTCTATCATTCCATACTCTACGTCCATGTGTACACATCATCTAGCTCCCACTTTTAAGTGAGAACATGAAGTATTTGACTTTCTGTGTCTGAGTTATTTCATTCAGGGTAATGGTCTACAGTTTTATCCATATTGCTGCAAAAGTCATTATTTTGTTCTTTTTTGTTCCTGAATAGTATTTGATTATGTATATATACAGTATTTTCTTTATCCAATCATCCATTGATGGACAATTAGTTTGAATCCATTTCATTGTTATTGTTCCGGTGTGAGCTTTGCTTACTGCCTATGTGAGTAGTAATACTTTAGATAGAATCTTCTTTTTTTTTTTCTGGTGGGCTTAAAATATTCAGTAAACCACGCTATCTATAAACAGATGTGTTTTCATCTGGACTTTGTTCTTTTATTTATAGAGTACAGACAGAGTAGATTTAGCATAATTCTTATGGGCCTTAAGTTTTTCAGAATGGTAAATGAGCATTGGCTTCAACTTAAAGTGACCAGCTACATTAGTCCATAGACAAGAGTCAGTCTATCCTTTGAAGCTTTGAAACCAGGCATTGACTGCTCCTTTCCAGCTGTGAATGCCATAGATGGCATCTACCACTTGATGGCTGTCTTGTCTACATTGAAAATCTGTTGTTTAGTATAGTCACCTTCATCTATTATGTCAGCTAGATCTTCTGGATAATATACTGCAACTTCTCCATCAGCACTTGCTGCTTTGCTTTGAACTTTTATATTATAGAGATGGCTTCTTTTCTTAAGCCTCATGAACCAACCTCTTCTAGCTTCAGACTTTTCTTCTGCAGCTTCCACATCTCTGTCAGCCTTCATGGAATAGAACAGAGTTAGGGCCTTGTTCTGGATTAGTCTTTGGTTTAAGAGAATGTTGTGTTGTGGCTGGTTTAATCATCCAGACCACTAAAACTTTCTCCATATCAGCAATAAGGCTGTTTTGCTTTCTTATTATTCATATGTTCACTGAAGTAGCACTTTTAATTTTCTTCAAAAACTTTTTCCCTTCCATTAGCAATTTGGCTCACTGTTTGGCACAAGAAGCCTAACTTTATGCCTATCTCAGCTTTCAACATGCCTTCCTCACTAAGTTTAATCATGTCCAATTTTTGATTGAAGTAAGAGACATGCAACTCTCCTTTCACTTGAAACTTAGAGGCCATTTTAGAGTTGTTAATTGGCCTAAATTCAATATTGTTTTGTCTCAGGGAAGAGGATGGTCCCAGGTAAGGGAATGAGAAGGAGAAATGATTGGTAGTTGCAGTCAGAACACACACATTTAATTCATCATTGCAGATAACTGAAAGTCAAAGAATTTGTAGCTTTGTAACATAAAAAAAATTCTGTAAAGTTGAAAAATGAGTCAAACGAGTCAAACAATTAGAATGTATTTCATTCACAACCACTGTTATATGTATCTACATTGAGATTTTTTCCTCATTTTTCTGTTTGAAATATGTTTTAAGACCTAAAATATGGGTTACAAAGCAACTTCCTTGCCCTATAAAATTATACCATATCACAGACTATTTACAGATCATTGCATAACCAACATAGATCATAATATTACTAACATGAACTCATTGTGCACTGGTTAGTGTGAGCTGTAGTAGTTTGGATTTGGACTGGGGTTTCTATTTAGTCAACATAGTGTCCCTATAATCTTTAACTTTCTGTTACCAAGAGACGTCTAACAAATATTGAAATATGGAAATGTATGTCCTTTATTTAGGTGAAAAATATTCATGAAGAGAACTGACTAGTTCTGAAATGTATATGTGTATGTATGTGTATGTTTAAAGGAAAGGCATTTAAAAAATATCACCTGCAATGGTGCTTGGGAACACTCTTCTAAAATACAAGAATGTTCATTAATCAATTTTTACATTTGTGAGCTCTTATTTGACTCATTGCCAAAGCCAGGGCATCCATTCTCCTCAGGATGTAATTGTAGACATTGTTCCATGAAAATTCTCAGAGCACGAATAGGTGTGATAATTGTCAGAAAGAGATAGATGAGTGGAAAGGAATAAAAAAAGAATGTGTATCTAATACAAAATGCATATTGTTGACTTATAGGTTGGAGGAAACAAATGGAGATAAAGAAACAAGTTTTATTGCTAATAAACTCTGAAGGATTTAGGTTCATAACATATGTAGACTAGAGAGTAGTTATAATATATTTTTATCCTTGTAAATACAGCTTGGACATGTAAAATGTTTAAGTACATCTGATATAATTTTATCCATAAATTACTTGCAACCATTTTGGCAATTAAACCAGCAAAACATGACCCAGTGGCTCTGGAAGTTTTAACCACAACGTATGTAAAAATATTGTGAAAATACAAGAATAAACTGTTTCTACTTGGTTCTCATAAAGATCAAGTTCTCTGAGCTTCCTAATACCAGAACTGTTTAGAGAGGGGAATATCATTTATGACAAATTTTAGAGCTGTTCTTTTTTGACTTGGTTTGCTGCCAAAGAACAACCTTCATTGTTTGGACAATAAAAGCAATGTTCTACCTCAATCTCATTTCTAATGGGCTACGTAAAAATGACTTCAAATGGTGATTTGGGGTAATACCCTTAAACTGCAAAGCCTCAGATGACCTTTCCGCAGTCTGTTCTCCAGCTTATCCTCCTTTCTCTTTCCTAGCCAAGTTTTGAGTTCTTCTTCAAGACATCATCTATCTTTAATAATTTCTGTTCAATCTGCATGTCTGTAATGTACTTGTCATCTGATCCTGAGCCAAGTTATTTTATTATATTTTATTTTATTTTTTAGACAGAGTCTCGCTCTGTCACCTAGGCCAGAGTGCAGTGGTGTGATTTCGGCTCACTGCAAGCTCCGCCTCCCGGGTTCAAGCAATTCTTCTGCCTCAGCCTCCCGAGTAGAAGGGTTTACAGGTGCGTGCCACCACGCGGGCTAATTTTTGTATTTTTAATAGAGACAAAGTTTCACCATAGTGGCCAGGCTGGTCTCGAACTCCTGACCTGGTGATCTACCTGTCTTGGTCTCCCAAAACGCTGGGATTACAGGTGTGAGCCACTGTGCCTGGCCCAAGTTATTTTTGTTTGTAATAGTAACACATAATGAACACTACGCATGCCAGGAATTGTGCTTTATATGCATTATTAATTTAATTCTTACTATTCCTCTATAAGTTAGGTAGTACTGTTTCCCTAATTTTACAGATAAGGGGACTGAGATTCAAAGAGGTAAATGCCCTACCCAAAGTCACATGGCAGAGCTGGGTCTCCAATCCAGATGTGTTTGGCCCCTCAAATTATACTTAACTTAGAAGTGGTGGGTCATTGAGGGCTTACTCCCAGGTGGCTGAAAACTGTGTATGTGTGCTAGCACATGTGTGCATGCATGTGCAAGCACACATACACTTGGAGTCGAGGTATAAGGAGAAATGTGGACAGGGCCTAGAATACCTTTTGTTTTCTGAGGCAAGGTCTCACTCTGTCACCCAAGCTGTAGTGCAGTGGTGCAAGCACAGCCCACTGCAGCCTCAACATCTTGGGCTTAAGCGAACCTCATGCCTTGGCCTCCAGTGTAGCTGGGACCACAGGTGTGTGCCACCAGGCCTGGCATACATATATATACAATTTTTTTTTTTAGATACATAGTTTTTTTTTTTTTTTTTTTTTTTTTTGAGATGGAGTCTTACTCTGTTACCCAGGTTGGAGTGCAATGGTACGATCTCTGCTCACTGCAACTTCTGCCTCCCCGATTCAAGAAATTTTCCTGCCTCAGCCTCCCAAGTAGCTGGGATTACAGGCGTGTGCTACCTTGCCCAGCTACTTTTTGTATTTTTAGTAGAGACAAGGTTTCACCATATTGGCCAGGCTCATCTTGAACTCCTGATTCTGGTGATCCGCCTGCCTTGACCTCCCGAAGTGCTGGGATTACAGGCATAAGCCACCACACCTGGCCAGAGACATAGGTCTTATCACATTGTTATCACAGGCCTGGTCTTTGTTGCACAGGCTAGTCTTGAACTCCTAGCCTCAAGCCATCATCCCACCTCAGCCTCCCAAAATATTGGGATTACAGATATGAGCCACTGCATCTGGCCTGGACTGCCACTTAAATGACCTTGGACTTTGTTGTAAAGACAATGAAGACCCATGAAAGGATTTTAAGCCAAGGAGAAAGATAATCAGACTTACAGTTTTATAGATTTCTCATGAAAGTAGAGAGGTACATGAGGTACTACATGGGGCCAGCACACAAGCTAGTTGGCAATTTCATATTCAGGCAGGAAATGATAATGGATTCGTACTGTGGTAATAGTAATATGGAAGATCAGATAGATGTCTAAGGGTGTTAGGAGGCATAATTAACAGAATGTGATGACTATTATGCAAGAAGGAGAGGAGGAGAGAGAGGGAGAAGGAAGGAGCTTTGGGTGGCTTCAAGCTTTTTCACTTGAGTCACATTCTGGTTTAAGTCCTCATGATTGAGGGAGAGTGGCTATCTGAGCAACTTTATGTTGACTTTTTGTTCTGTATTACAAATGATGATAATGGAGATATCTTCCTTCTAATGTTGCTTTGAGGAATGCCCAATGCATGACACAATTCTTTCTTGTAAGTCTTTGCGATATTTAAATAAAAGCATAGAAAGCACCTGGCCTCTTGCAAAAGTGAATTTTCATCACCATTCTCATTGTCAGCTCTGTTATGCCATTTCTCAAAACCATTGCTTGCCTCAGGGCAGGGGGAAAGGCTCTGCCATGTGGGCTGCTTTTGTATCTTCAATCCATTCTAAATCCTGTCAGAAGGGATGCATTGTCCTATCTGGTAGAGGTGGCTCTGGGTGATATGCTCTGCTTGGATTAGTCAGGAAGGAGCCCTTTCCCTTGTGTGTCTGCCTATTTGTGGTAGTGGTTATTCTGGTACAGTTTCTACAAGCACAGTAATTCATAAGATTTTCCACAGTATACATATTGTCTTTCATTAGAGAATTACTGTCTTTCATCTTCTAATCCTTAAATTTAGGCTTTCTTTTATATAGTATGTGAAATTCGAATACCTGGATGGCAAGAGATCTAAAAGGTAGTATTCTGACTAGAGTGTGGAATGTAGTTATAAGAATGCCTAATGCTATTGATGTTTGCAAAACTAGGCAAGTAGGATGTCCAAAGAACTCTGGTCTATCAGCGGGTAGTGGATCCCAACCCCTGGGCTGGGATTCACAAGGCAAAACCCTGTCATCAGGACTGTAAAACTGAGGCACTGCTTAAATTGTAAAGATTTTGGCTCAGAGATGTAAGTCAAGAAGCTGTGTTAGTGCAAGGCTAATGAGCAAGCAATAAACGAGCCTTAGTGCTGACTGAGAGCACAACTCATTCCTGACTCAGATAAGAATTGGTTGAAGGACAGGGCCAAGCTGAGTCTATAGCTGGAGGTTAGGTGGCTAAAATTTCAGAACAAGTTGGGGATGTAGCCACTTTCTGGAGATAGATTAAGCACAGGTAATTCTCCGTCTAGTGCCTTTGAGAGACATTTTCTTTCTTTGTTACCCCATCCTGCATTCAGCTGCCATACATCTTTTCAGACTCTTTAGTTTTTAGGTTTGAGGGATTTTTGTTGTTTATTTGGGGTTTTTTGTTTTTTTTTTTTTTTTTTTTTTTTTGGGCAGAGATTGTCAGTCGACAAAGTAGCCTGAAGTCCTTCCTTTGTTAAAAAATCTTATATTAAATGTATCCATTCATAATGGTTATTGGAGTATAATTTTGTTAGCATGATTATTTTATGGGGACTCCTTGCCAAAGAACTTTTATCCTTGCAGACTTTAAATTAATTAATTTGTAAGGCCTTGACTGAATCATTCAGAATTCCAAGAGATAAACATCAAATTGTTATTTTTCCAGTGTTCCTTTTAACATGAGATTGCATTAGATAATAATTACAAATTATTGTAAGTGGGCTTGAGTTCTTGATTTGGCTCTCAGCTTGAATATTACTGGTATATGGAAATGCTGCTGATTTTTGTGCACTGACTTTGTATACTGAAACTACTGAAGTCATTTATCAGTTCTCTTGGCAGAGTAGGTTTTTCTAGGTATAGAAGCAAATCATCAGCAAAGAGAGATAGTATGACTTCATTTCTTATTTGGATGCCTTTCCTTTCTTTCTCCTACTTGATTGCTCTGGCTAGGACTTCCAGTGCTATGTTGAATAAGAGTGGTGAGAGTGGACGTCCTTGTCTTGTTCTGGTTCTCAAGGGAAACACATCCACCTTTTGCCAATTCAGGATCGTGTTGGTTGTGGGTTTGTCATAGATGGCTCTTATTATTTTGAGGTATATTCCTTATATGCCCAGTTTATTGAGGGTTTTTACCATAAAGGGATGTTGGATTTTATCAAAAACTTTTTCTGCATCTATTGAGATGAAAATAGGTTATTTGTTTTTATTTATGTTTACATGCAAAAACAGAAAACTAAACATTGGGTACACATAGACATGAAGATGGAAACAATAGACACTGGGGAATACAAGATGTGGGAGGGAAAGGGGCAGGGATTGAAAAAAATTACCTACCTGTATTGAATGCTGCTGTACACTGCAGAGTACAGTATTGGTTGTTTAAGCTCATGATCATGTGTCTGGCTGGAAGCTGTGGCAGCTGCCCAGCATCATGAGAGAATATTGTACCAAATACTACTAGTGCAGGAAAAGGTCAAAATTCAAAATTTTAAGTACAGTCTCTATTGAATATATATTGCTTTCACTCCATCATAAAGTTAAAAAAAATTAAATTGAACCATCCTAAGTTGGGGACCCTCTGTAAAATCACCACCTGCACTAGCTCACTCCTGATCCTCCTTACCTGCTCTATCAGCAACATCAGTAGCTCCTGGGGGAATGGTGAAAACTACAAATGCTCAGATTTCTGAGTCAGCAAGTCTCGGGGTAGGGCCTAGCATTCTGTGTTTTAACAAGCCTGCAGGAAATTTTGATACACAGTAAAATTTGAAAGCCATCAAGGGAGAACCATCGTGAGCTTTCTAAACTCACTCCTTTTGTTTGTTGTTTCTATTGATATGATTAGCTCCTGAGACTAGAATGGTCTAAAACTGCAATAACATCCTCTCCTGAGGAATAGTTTATCACACTCACTTTTTTCCTACATGAAGAGAGAATTGTTAGATGATAATTGTCCTGGAAACTTTTTTTGTTTTTACCTTTATATAATACCCCTCACCAAAATAATTGGTAATTGTAAAGATTATTATCTGATTATTAACAAACTAAGCTTTGGAGTTAGACTCAGAATGAATTTAGTAAAAGTCATCCCCCCTTAATATAAGTGTGACCTTAAGAAAATTATTTAACCTTTTTTAGTTTTAGTTCCCAATGCAATAAAATAGGCATTATACTTTCCTATGAAAGTTGTTGTGTGGATTAACAGTGAAGGTATACATAGAACATTCAGTACCAACCTTGGATTAAATGTTCAGTGAAGAGTATCCATTGTTAATATAGCTTATTTTAGGTTTCTGAGGTAAGAGTCTCAGGCATGTCTTGAAAAAGAAAAAAAATTTTGGACACTGAGTTTTACTCTGTCACCCAGGCAGGAGTGCAGTGGTGTGATCATAGCTCACTGCAGTCTCAACCTCCTGGACTCAAGCCATCCTCCTGCCTCAGCCTCCCTAGTACCTGGGATTACAAGCACGTGCCACCGTGCCCAGCTAATACTTAAGACAAGGGTCTCATTTTGTTGCTCAGGCTGGGCCCAAAATTCTGGCCCTAAGCAATCCTCCTGCCTCAGCCTCCCTAACTGCTGGGATTACAGGTGTGAGCCACTGCACCAGACCCTTGAAATTTTTTATTAATTAAAAGAACTGTTTAAAGTGACACATGATCAGAGAAGATTTTAAAAGGCAAATATTTTTCAAAAATTTACACTTATATGAACATTAAATGTTGTAAATTACAAACCTTTACTTTTAATAATAGTATAATATTTATTATATTATTCTTAAATATCTAATATTTATCAGGTTCTTACTATGTTCAGGCACCATGTTAAAAGCTTTAACAAGTATATTCACACTCAGCCACATAAAACAGAAACGTAGCTTGAAACTCATTAAGCTTAATAAAAGGTTTAAATCAGTTTTTTAAAATGTAAATAAATTCTACTTTCAAAGGAGAAACTTAAATGTCAAAAAATGTTTATATACTTTTGAGTGGGTCAGGGAAGAAGATATCTCTTATCCTTAGAATTATCTTAGATACACAATCCTTCATAAAGGATCTTTTCATTAGTTATCAACTGAAATTTAAAAATATATGAAGTTCATTTCATCTCTACTATGTTATAGCAAGACTTTAAAGAGTTGCCTTTAATTTCTACAATCTGGTTACATATATTATGACAATAGCAACATAACATTCTTTTAAAGAACATGTACTATGTATGATAGGGAGAAAGTCACTGCTCATAAATGAAAGGCAGTGTATTTCACACATTAATCAGATTAAATATGTAAAAAAAAGTGGTTTAAGTAGTTTCCATTTCCATCTCCCTCAAAAAACTAGATGTCATGAAGTAATCAAATACTAATAATTTTATCTTCTTATTTTTTCCAAGAAAAGCAAAATTTTCTCTCTCCTGGTACAAAAAAAAAAACAAAAACATTTCAAATGAAAACTGATTCTCTAAGGGCCTTGAAACCAAATTCCCACCTACATTTCCCAGCTCATACTGGACTTAGCCCATTTCTTGCATCAATACTGGGCCTCACAGAAGGCCTGTCAGTATACTGTAGGTACTCATTGATGCCGTTAACAAAATGTATTTCTGATATTTGTGTGGCCCTCTACAATTCTTAGCACACTTTTTTTCTGTAGCATCCCATCTTATTGACCCTTTTGTAGATGAAAGAAATCCACTTTAGGAGGACAAGTTACTTGTCTGGAATCCCAGCCTTAGTAAATGACTAGAACGCTGAGTTCTAGTCGTCCTGTCCAAAGTTATTTCAAAACACCAAAGAGTAGCTTTGTGGGGAGTGGGGTGTGTGTGTGTGTGTGTGTGTGTGGGTGTGTAGCTCAGAAAGCAGACCAGTAGGAAGGAGGGGGCAGTGGCCAAAATATAGTCACACAACCAAAACAGATGTAGGGAGTCTGAGAAATGTAGTATTTTGGCTGGACTTTATGCTTCCCTGAATAAAATTAATTGTCTGTTACTAAGAAAGAATGGGAGGATGAATATTATATGAACAATTAGCATTTCCATTGCAGTTAAGAAGGATTTCTCTATGCTCTCTCTCTCTCTCTCTGTCTCACACTCACATACTTGAATATATAAACATGAGCAGAGTAGTTAGAGCTTCAGAGCTTCCTTTGTGATTGTCCTTTACAGCTAAAGAACTATCGGTTCGTAAGTAAAGTTCTATACTTATGAACAACCAGGGCAAGAGGAGGGACGGTGTTAGATTCTTTTCCTTACTCCTCATTATTTTTCTGTTCACATAGTAAATGTTTAAATAAGTATTTCCTGTACTGATCTAGCCATTGAAAAAATGTTTATTGAATTTAGATACAGTAAAGCAATTCTTACTTTAATTTAGTCATATATAGTAATCTAATATGATCAGAGCTTAGTCCTTAGCTACCTGGCATGATCATATTTACATTACCCTATACTTTTAATTAATGGTTCCCTCAAAAAAGGCACACTTAGAAACAGATGTATTTGTTTTAATCTTGACCCTTCATAAACAACATCTGCTACTCCTTTAAACTAATCACTATGAGAAACCATGAAATAAGGCCTGACCCATCACAAAATCTAGAGATTGCATTCAGCATGTTTGCTCTATGGTACAGAAAATTAATTTCACTTATTTTCATTTTTTTCCCGCCTTTTTCTGACTGCTCTACAGGCTGTATATTGATGGTCCTTTTGGAAGTCCATTTGAGGAATCACTGAACTATGAGGTCAGCCTCTGCATGGCTGGAGTCATTGGAGTAACTCCATTTGCATAAATACTCAACACCCTGTTGTATGTCATTTTGATCTATTTTGTTAATCCAAATAGAGAACTGCCAATATTTCTGATATCTCTCTTTTTAGTATAAAATAATTCCTTATTGAATTATTCTACTTGTTGATCAAGGACCTCCATTTACTGATTGATGAGGGGAATAATTCAGTGATTCTCAACATGTGGTCTGTGGCTCCTAGCATATTCTCTTGTAGAAAGATGTCATATCACAGTTATGCACTCCTCTGTCCTTTTCCTTTGTTAAAAGCCATTCGCCTCCATCCTTCATTTTCTGTGTCCTCATCAGCGGCAAGTGGTTCTACTCATTCATTCAGTCAACAAATATTTTTGAGCACCCATGTGCCAATAGGTCTTACAGGTATTGGGAAGACAGCAATGAATGAAAACAGAGACCCTGCCCTTAAAAAGCTTGCGTTCAAATGGGGCAGGTAAAAAAGAAAGCAATGAAAAATATAAATAAAATTATTTCAGAAAATATTAGAATTTTGACAAAAGGTAGACATTAATGGATATGGAAATAAAGGGTTGGGTTTATTGTTGAAATATGGTCAGGCTTTTCTGAGATGACAACTGAACACATCATTCCTTCATTTGTTACTTAGCAAATTTACAACAGACTAAAGAAAGTAACTTCAAAGGTGAAATTGTGGCCGGGCACATTGGCTCACACCTGTAATCCCAGCACTTTGGGAGGCCGAGGCAGGTGGATCGCTTGATGGCAGGAGTTCAAGATCAGTCTGGCCAACATGGTGAAACCCTGTCTCTACTAACAATACAGAAAGCAACCAGGCGTGGTTGTGCATGCCTGTAATCCCAGCTACTCCAGAGGCTGAGGCACGAGAATCTCTTGAACCTGGGAGGTGGAGGTTGCAGTGTGGGGAGACGGCACCACTGCACTCCAGCCTGGGTGACAGAGCAAGACTCTGCAAAAAAAAAAAAAAAAAAAGGTGAAATTGTCTGACCAGGAAATACTAAACTAAAACTTATTTTAGTTTCAGGATTGTAAGCAAAAGTTAATTGATTGATATTCTTATGAAAACACAAAGCAAAATAAAAAGTAGAAAGTTATTCTCATATCTATTCCATTTACTTTTTTTTCTGCAGAACCAAAAAAGCAATAATAAATTTAAGTGATGTGGTTGAATGATATTTTATTTCAGTTTTAAATACTAGATGTAAATTTGGTACTTTCTGGTGGTTCTTACAAAAATGATCATGCTCCAAGCCAGAAATAGTTTGTTTCTGACAACACATTACAAGTTATTTGGATACCTAATGTTATGAAAAAGGAAGAACATTTTCTTAACCTCAAACCTACTTTATAAATAGGGATCCAAACTTGGAATTATGAGTTGCTGGAATGCATTACATCATACATGATTGTGAAATCTCTTTCTTTAATGATTTTTAAGAGGGGATAAACAACCAAGTTTCTGGAATGGTTTTGGCTCATTTTGCCAAAAATCCAGGGCAAGACTGAATGACCTTTGGAGCCCTACTGAGTCTGTGATAGAATTCACTGAAAGTTGAAAACTTGTTTTTTTCTGTGATGCAGAGCCCAATATTATTCTGGTCCAGTTCAGTTATGGCCTTCAACTGGAAATGGATGATATTCATACTTGTCAATATTATTCACACTTAAATTCATTTAACACTTAAACACCTAAATTCATGAAGTATGTCATATCCTTGAGTCAGTATATTGCATATTAAATTCATTTAGGTCTTGTGCTATCAGATGCTAGAATGTAAATGACTGATTTTTCTATTGGTTTCTATTGGATATTTCTATTGGTTGCTTACTAATGAAAAGGAAACTTTCAAAGATATATGAATTCTTTAATATTTGTGTTTGCCATCCTAATCACTATCATGTTATTTTAATTTTAAAGGGATGACTGGAAACCATACAAGCTTAGAAGACTATACTTTATTTGGGCATGCAGAGATATCCAGTCCTTCCATTGGTTTGCAGACTTACTCTGTATGTTGCATAACAAGGTAACATTAGGGTTGGTTCTAGTTTTGCAATTTTTCAAATTAAAAATGTTATAGCTTTTATATTACAAGAGCAATAAATGCTCGCCATAGAATAAACCATAGAAATTATGCAGATAAGTAGCAAGGAAAGAAATAAGTCTCTTAAACATAAAAAATCAGAGATAATATCTGTTAGCAATTAGGCACACATCTTTTCAGATATGGATATTTGTGAGTATATATTTTAACATAGAAACATTCATTTCTATGTTTTAACATAGGGTGTTTCACATTGAAATGTATGCATATGGCTAAAGGTGATGAGGGAAGACAATGGAGGGAATTACCAGAAGGCTCCTGCTGTAACACCTTCCATCCTTTGTTCTGTTAGCACTTACCCTTGATTGCCATCTTTAATACTGCAAATCACCAGACTTTTTGGTATACGATACAAATCTCAACAATCCCAAATTCTGTGTTTTATTTTTTGCAGAGATAAAGCAGGAATCTTTTCCTATCCTACCTGTAACATTTGACCTATTTATCTTTATTCACATTATACAAGTGATACACATATGCATCCTTGCTACAAATATTTCAAACAATTCTGATAAAGTAAAATCCTCTCTTACTACCTTCCCTACCTAATCTATGTAAACAGAGGTAACTCTTAAGTGTTCTATAAATTATATCATACTATCTATATTGTTTATGCAAATTCCTTTATTAATTGATTACTATGTCTTGACTATTTTTTGGTATTAGTGCATATAGAACTGCCTCATTGTTTTTCCCGGTGCCAACAATTAGAGATGATAGACCCACCTGATTCTTTTAGAGTATTTCATTGTATAGATATATCTAGCTTACTGAACAATTCTCTAATGTTAGATACTTTTTTATTACAAAGAATGCTGAAATGGATATCATTATATATACCTCTTTGTGCATGCATTCACTCATTCAGTCAGTCATTCTATCATTCAGTGTATATTTATTAACTGCTAACTATCAATCTGAAACTATTCTAGGATCTGAAACCTCATCAGGTGGCAAAATAAAACCAAGTTTCTGATCTCATGTGGTTTACATTCTAAGGGGGCAAGATAGACAACAACCAATAAATACATTGAGCATCAGGTTCTGAGATTCGGGTTAGGACAAAGAAGGAAGGGAAAGTAGGAGTAAAGCAGCATAAACAGTAGAGAGTGTGTTACTTTATATTGCACGTTCAGGAACAACCATCAAACAAAATGCTATAATGCCATTTGAGCAGACTTGACTGAAGTGAATGAGCAGACTAGACACATATTTTGGAGAAAAAAAATCAAGATAGAGAAACCTAACTTCATAGGCAAGGGCTCTGAGGCAGCGGTATGCTTGGTGTCCTGAAAGAAGAGAAAGGAGATCTGTGTGGATGAAGCAGAGTAAGCAAGAGAAAGAATAGTAGGACAGGCAATTAGAGAGGTGGTATCTGTGCTTTTCTGGGAAGAGGTGGATTATGTAAGTCCTCCAGACTTTATGCAAAATAAATAAATAAAAATAAATGAAAACATTCGTTCTGGATATGTACCTAGAAGAATTAAAAGCAGGCAATTGGACAGATATTTGTATGCCAATGCCAATAGAAGCATTATTCACAATAGCCAAAGGATGGAAACAACCCAAATATTCATCAATAGTTGAATGGATAAACAAATTATGATATATACGTACAATGCAAAACTATTCAGCCTTAAAAAGGAAGGAAATTATGACACATAGTACATGGATGAACTTTGAAGACATAATGCTAAATGAAATATGCCAGACACGAAAGCACAAATATATTATGCTGTCACTTATAGGAGGTCCCTAGAGTAGTTTAATTTGCAGAGGCAGGAAGTAGAATAGTCTCTACATATGCATCCTTGCTAAAAATATTTCAAACAATTCAGATACAGTAAAATCCTCTCAGGTTGCCAAAGCCTTCGGGGAGCGGGAAATGAGGGGGTTGTTGTTCCATATTTTTTTCTAGACTATTTATTTTTGCAGGTATATTTTTGCCTCGTGCATTTTTGTGCAAGAGAAACCAGAGCCCATTGCTGAATAAGCGGAAGGCAGGAACAGGAAAAAGTATCTATTTGCGTTGTTTTATATTTGCTAGCATGCATAAATTAAATCACTATTGTCTTTTTTTCTCAAGAAATTCATGTTCTTGATGAGTAAACTGGTACAATTTTGAGACTCTTAAGGAATAAAATAAGGAGTATTTCAGAAAGACTAATATTTGTATAGCATTTAGCATGCTAAATTTTCTATCTATAAAGATAACAGAAAATTATTCCCTACCACTACCATCATCAGACCTAATTCATACCAAGAGGCCAGATTATTAACATTAGAATCTGTTATATATATTTGTGTGTATGTGTGTGTGTGTATTCATTTTCTTATAGATATTGACTATGATAAGCTAGGTTGTGTTAAATTCTAGAATCACATGTTAGAATAGGAGAAAATCTGAGTATACCCACAGAATTGTAATAAGTCTATTCCTTTTTCTGTCCTCTCAGTTTTGGCAAGAGAACAGACCTGACTATGTCAACATCCAGCTGTACCTCAGTCAAACAGATGGGATACAGGTATGTGGTTGATGTTATCGTAAATTAAACAAGCCTGTTGATAATAGATTTACTGTAGGAGCTGTGGTGGAAGAAAATTCCTTCAGGTGGTTCGAACAGAAGTTTCCTAGAGGAAAGCCTCCTTTGGAATATGTCCAGAAAAGTCATAGCTTGTCCTTGAAGTCAACCATATTATGCCTTCCATTTGTCCTCACAGGGAGCTGGGGCAGACTCATAAGGTCTGCCCCTCCCCTCTTCACTATCGCCTCAAGTTCTTCTGAAATTCAGACTACACATGAACAGCCTTGTGATTTCTTTTTATTGAGGGCACGTTTTATGTGGAGTGAGAAGATGAGTTCATATACAATTAAGCTTATTTCTAGACAAAGAAAACTAAAAAATAATGATAGCCATCATACATTATTTATTTACTGTTTTAGGAACTGTGCTAATAATTTCACATATATTAGTTTATGTAATTAAAACAGAGTTAAGCAGTTAATGTTATTCCCATTTTGCAAGTGATGAAACTAATATTTGAAGACAACATTGAAGAGCTGGACTGGTGTATAAATCTAGGCATGAATGCATTCACAAATTTTATTTTAGTACTTTTTGTCATACATTTTCACAATACTTTGAATATAAAATTTGAATGTTTTCAGTTACCTCAAAACTAATCTAACTCTAATTTTCCCAGTCATATTTCTACCCTACTTGGTATGTAAAAAGTATTTCATTTTACCAGTCTCATGAAGTAAGTCAATATCACTTTTCCTCCTGGTATTGCGATAATTAAGGTATGAAGCATAATTTGTATCTGGTTCTCAGTTTGCCTGCCTGGGACTCAGATACTTCCTCCTTTCTCCGCAGTTCACTCTGACTCTTCACATTGATTTAGATCTAATGCTCTCTTAATTGCAAACAGAAGCCCGTTCACAGCCATTTGTTGATAGACCCAATTTTGGAGTTCTGCTGTTGTGAGCTGTCTTGTCTAGGATCATTTCCCCAAATTTACGATGACAATTTGTAGTATTTTACTTACATAATGAGCCAAATATGACAACTGTATCTGTGGTGCCAAAATACTTCAATTGAAATCCATGTGCTGAGCCTTTTTGAGATTGACCAATTAGAATTCATTCTTTGTCTTACATTGCAGTTCTTTAAAGATGAAACGACTAACTGAAATCTAAGAAAATTAGCCATTTGTCAGAATGGCATTCAAGGAGATTAGTTCTAACAATTAGTTCTAACAATTAATTCATTTAAAAATCAAATTTTTGTACCTTTTTACCAGAATAGATTTTGTTTGTTTGTTTAAAAACAAACACATGGAATTCAAGGAGATAATGGATTTTAAAAGAAAGGAGAAAGGAAACGATATTTTGAAATAATTCTACGTAATAGGTTGCCATTTGATACTTACATTCTTTATATCACAGCAATTTGGTGGGAAGCCGCAGCACCAGTAGAAACGATGTTAGAGAACTAGGTTACTTAACTAAATCTCGAATAATATAGTGCTTTCTTTTTGGCAGAAGATAATTGGAGAAAAATATCATGCACTGAATTCAAGACTGTTTCTTGGACGTCCTCGGTGGAAACTTTTGTTTGATGAAATAGCAAAATATAACAGAGGGTAAGTACTATACCTCAAAAATTTGATATGTGGCTAATAAATTAATTAAAATATTTTCAAATAATTACATGAAGTTTGAAAATGAATTGGCAATGAGTTTACAAATGACAAATTCACTGAAACACTCTTTCACTATCAAAGGAAGAAGTAAGGCAAGTATCGTCCTACATTTCTGTAATTCCAAATAATTAAAGTTTGGCTTAGAAATAGTCTATAATGTATTTATGAACTAAACTCTCCTATCTGATTATAAATTTGTATAGGCCTATATTAAAAATGGGTATTCGCTCCCACAGCATATATCAGGTGATCCTAGGAAAAGTTTTCAAAATCATGTTTCCAAACAAAGAACTTTACAATTAGTTCTAACAATGAATTCATTTAAAAATCACATTTTTTGTACCTTTTTTTACCATAATGAATATGTTTTTTGTTTGTTTATTTGTTTTTTAAAAAAACCCTCTGCATTGTAATATGCCGTCTTTAAACCTAGAATATTTCCAAAAATATTATTTAGAAACTATAATTTTATAAAGAATCTTGTTCTTATGGACTATGTGTCTATGATCTGAAGAAATTACTGAGAAGGAAAGCTTTCATTTTAGGGCACAGACCAGCCAGCCCATTTGTCTTTTGTAAATTTATCATAGTGCAGAGCACTGATCTATAAGAATTCTAAGAAGATTTTGAAAACTATATAACCACTCACATATTTTTAGGTTTACATCTAAATAGTTTCATCATAAGTTTACATAGTTGTAAAAGATGTGATTTCTAACATATCGCAGATATTGACATTTTGTAATTAACATAATTTCTTTAAACATATCCACTGGAATATAAATATAGCTAGATGATATTATCATTTATTACAAAAATACATAAACTTTTCTTTTAGCAGTTGGATGTTTTACATCATTCTTTTTCTTTCATTTAAGTTGTATTTCTGTCCCATTAACCCATATAATTTTATCAAAATTCAATTAATTTTTTACATTTGAACTAATCATGTTTTTATTGCTAACCTAATCCTAATCATACTTCAGCAAAAAGAATGAACATAAATTAAATATTTCATTTTAAAATTTTCTGTAATTATAAGGCTCTAGTATTAATTTTTACTTCTGGCTTGAGTTATCATTTCAATTACTTTATATAGTTGAACACTTCATAATTTTAAAAATATATTTTTATAAACATCAAAAGGATATTTGATTATAAATGCACAGGCCAGCTTATTAAATGGATTTTTTTTTAAAAATGCAATTTAGGAAATCATGGATGAATATAATTTATTGAAGAAATCACTGATTCAAGATGATCCCTATCTCTACCTTCAAAGATTTTGTTTTAGAAATTACAGAATGGAGCCTGGGAAGCAAAATTTATGAAGGAATAATGTTACCCATGTGATTCAGATTACAGTCATGTTTAAAACACTTTTGTAGTATTAGGGATGAAGATGTAAGCATGATTTACAAAGCAGAACTTTTTTGTAATATTCAGAGTTGAAATTTAGAAAAAAATGATTTCAACCCACTTTTGGCTATCTTCCTTTCCCATCTTTCTCCAGTATCACCCATCTTAGATGTGATAATCTTGTCATACTCATCTGTCTCTTGCTATGCATTGCAGACATGTTCCTCTTTAGTGCCATTTACTGCTTCTGACAAGAATTTTTTTGTTGATTTTCATTGTATATTGCTGAAAACTGATAGGTTCTTTGGCTGAATTCAGAAACCAAATCCCTAAAGAGCAGATTATTTACAGGGAAATAGATTGAGGCTGTTGGTTCCTACTGTTAGTTCTCAAGAAGTCTCATTTGTTAGGCTGTTTGTGTTTTAGAGCCATTTGTGTGTGTGTATATATTTAGTAGTTTGTTCTTTTTCTGGAAAAAATGGAAAACTTGTTTAAGAAGAGCAAATGTGCACCATCTGCTGTTGACATTTTGTACAACACTTTGACTTTGTGTATTTGTTCTCAGGCAGGTGCCTTAAATGTGTTTACATTTTCTGAAGGATTTTTATGTAGCATACTTAGGAAAAGAATGAATCAACATTCTTCAGGTCTTATTAACTGGACAAAGGCACTGTGTAAATGGATGGTTTCATTTACAATGTAGCATTTTGATTAACCTCATGCACACAAATTGCTGAAAACATATGGAGATAACAGTAGGGAAGACAGGCATATAAGTTAAGATTTTAAAATATCATGTGTTGGGCAACACTTTTTAACTTTCAGAAAATGATTACATATTTTTACCAGTAGGCATTCAGAAAATGATTACCAGTAGGCATTAGGTTAGTATACTATGTAGAATACAAATTTAAATTGCATTAAACACTCCTGGCCCAGAGGTAATGATTGGTAACTCTTCGTTATGTATTCTTACAGAAGCTTTTGTAAGTTTGTGTGAGAGTGTGTGTGTGTGTACTTATGAAAGTATATGTAAACATATGTTTGTATGTGTGTGTGTGATATATATTTAAAATCAAAACCTTAGTTTTTTAACAAAAATTGAATCTATGCCAAGTAATTCTTCAGCTTACTTTGTTGTTCTTGTTGTTTTATTTTTTTCTTGGCTTTGCTAGGAAGAACCAACTAACTTTTTAATGATGTGCTTCTTTCGATCGTGGACAATTTCTGTGTAATTGTACCTCAAAGTATTCTAGAGTATGAATAACATGACTGCTACTACCCTAATTCTTTATATTTAGATTACTTATATTTCTTTATAGTTAAAAATAGTGCTGTGGTAATTATCTTTGTACATACTTTCTCATGTGAGAGTATTGCAGTAGATTAAGATCTTTGAGTTGGAATTGCTGGCTCAACAGGTATGCACATTTAGGTACTGCTCTACAAAAACTAAAAGTCAGAATTAATTTACTTTCCACATGTGTGTGACAGTCATTCATTTCTTTGTTGCTTTTTTTAAATTCAGAAACTGAATTATATGATGGTATTACATGATCATGGAAAGTGAAGGAGCTTTAGGAGTCAACCTGCCTTCATTTTTATTTTACAAATGAAGAAGCTAGGACCTCAAAATATAATGATTTATCAAAAGCCATGGTTAATGAGCCAGAATGCAGATATGAACACAAATGTCCTGACTGCAAGTTCATTGTGCTTTACAGCAGGTCATAATCAGCTTGTCACAGATAAAGAGTGGCAATCTTATTTTAGCATGTTCCCCTTAGATGGGAGGTAGGGAGGTGCTCCAGGAAACTCCCATGTTTACTAAGAATGCTGTAGCAGAATGTTAACTGTAACACTAAAAGAATTAATAACTAATTTTGTTGAAATACAGATATTCTAAATATTACATTGTAAACCATTTAGTATTTAATAAACTATTAGAAAATTATTTATTATATCTAACCCCAACTTGGTTTCCTATTGTTTGTAATTAAAATGTATATCCTGTTTTGAGCTGTGAAGTTTATGCATGATGCAAAGAGAGAAAGAAAAGTTGAACTTTATTTGGCTTTTTGAGTAGAGAATTACTACTCTGGGATTGGGTGAAATCTTTGAGATTATATCTTTATTTTACTGCCTTGTAGTGTTTTCAAACAATACAAATTAAGAATAACTAAGTTTAGTCTCTCACATTTACTCCTGTGACCCTGAGTCAAGTGACTCAGTTCTCCTGGATCTGTAATACAACGAGTGAATAAGCTCTCCGGAGTGATTAAGTTCTCATTATGTAAGATTCTGCGTTTACAAGTCTACATGAAAAAGCAAGTATGAACATTTATAGAACTAGTTTCTAATGTCTACCCCAAACCACATTTTCTACTTAGTACCCGAATGTACCTCCACTCATTCCATCAAAGGTCGTGTAGACAGGTCTCCAGATAATTGTTGGATTGCAGCATTCTAATGCAAATTTAGTACAAATGAATTGCAAAGATTCCTTGTAGAATTCGAAAAAGAAAAAAAAAAGTAAGATTTCATTAAGTTAGTGAGAGTGACATTAGGGAATCCTCAAATCGCACACACACAAAAAGGATATCAGAGAGTTAAGCTAGTTAATAATTGCAAAAGAAAATGTTAAAGAAACACAAAAATCATAATATCCTGTGTGATTTAAAAATAATGATTTTATTATTATTTATTTTATAATTAATACTTGATTTTATTATCAAGTATTTAAGAAGTGCCTTTAGGAAATCTGAAAAACTTGCCAAACTAACTCTACAATTGCCCTGTCAAAGCCAAGCAAGAAAATAATGGTATCTTATTGCCATCATATGGTGTTGACAGAAAGTTTATACAAAGAAACAAAATGACTCAATTCTCTTTTCATTTTAATGGAAGCTACATTATGTTTCAGTAGTAATTTAAATTTTATTAAGTATAGCATCATTTATTTTCATATATTTTTATTTCTTTTGCTCATTTTGGGTTTAATTAGCTTTTCTTAATTTTTACTAGTTTCTTAAAATGGAAACATAGGTCATTGATTTCAGACTGTTTTTCTTAATAAAAGTGTTTAATGCTGTACATTTTCCTCTAAACACCACTTTTGCTAAATCTTATACATTTTGATTTGTTTTCATTTTCATCTCGTTCAAATATGTTTTATTTTTTATGTTTTTTCTTTGACCCATGGGTTATTTAAAAATGTTGTTTAATTTCCAAAAACGCAGAAATTTTCCAGATATCTTTTTGTTCTTAATTTCTAGTTCAATTGGGATTTGATCTAAAAATGAACTCCTTGTGATTCTAATCCCTTAAAATGTATTGACACCTGTTTTATTGCCCAGAATATGTTCAATCTTGGTGAATGTTCCATATGCACTTAAAAAGAATTTGTATTCCATTATTGTTAGATAGAACATTCTACAAATGCCAATTAGTTCCAATAGGTTGATAGTGATGTTCAAGTTTTCAATAGGCTTACTGAATTTCTGGCTGCTTGTATTAATTACTGAGAGAAGAGTATTGAAATAATTAACTATAATTATGAATTTATCTGTCTTTACAGTTCCATCAGTGTTTGCTTTATGTTGAAGCTTTTTAGTTTCGGTGTTTAAATCATTTACATTTAATTTAATGAAAATACAGTTGGCTTTAAATCTAGCAGTTCACCATTGCTTTGTACTTATCTATTTGTTCTTTCTTTGTTTTATTTTCTTTTTTTACCTTGATTTGGGTTGAGTATTTTTTATAATTCCACTTTTTTCTCTAAAGTTAGACATGCCTCTGTATTTTTTTTTTCTTTTTAGTAATTGCTTTAGGTTGTTGGTTCCTGAACTGGATTCCTTAGACCAGCATCAATTGGAATCTTGTTAGAAAAGCAAATTCTTGAGCCCTATCCAAGATCTGCCAAATCAGAAACTAGGGATGGGGAGACCTAACTATTTGTGTTCTATGAAGTCTCTAAAATGATTCTGATGAAGCCAAAATTAAAGAAACATTGTTCTAAGTTTACAGTATACATCATTAGCTTATCACAGCCTATTTTATTTTTTATGTTTATGTTTATGTTTATTTTTTAGAGACAGAGTATTGCTCTGTTGCCCAGGCCAGAGTGCAGTGACATGATCTAGACTCACTGCAACCTTGAATTCCTGGGCTCAAGAGCTCTTCCCACCTCAGTCTCCTGAGTAGCTGGAACTACAGTTGCATACCACCATGCTTAGCTAACTTTTAAAATTTTTTGTAGGAATGGGATCTCACTCTGTTGGCCAGGCTGGTACTTTGAATAATATTGTAACACTTCATGTACTTCCATTTCTTCCATCCCTTTTGCTATTTTTGCATTCATCTTACATATACATATGTTATAATTCTCATTATTAGTATTTTTTGTTTTAAACATCTAACATATATTAAAAATATTAGAAATTAGACAAAATAAATATTTTATATTTACTGACAGATTTTACTATTTTGGTGTCCTTCTTTCCTTTGGTTGATTCAAATTTCTATCTAATTTTATATTCCTACTTCTTGAGTAGTTTTCTTTAGTGTCCTTTATAGTGCTGGTTTGCTGACAATTCTTTCAGCTTTTGTTTGTATACAGTTTTTATTCCATCTTCATTTCTGAAAAATCATTTTTGTTTGGCATAAAATTTGCTTGATATATAATAGTTGATGTCTTGATTTATATTTTAGTACTTTGAAGATATCACTTCATTGCCTTCTGACTTACACAGTTTATGACAAAAAGTTCACTTTCATTCTTATATTTCATTCTTATATTTTCTGTTGATGATTTGTAATGTGTCTTTTCCCCTAGTCTGTTTGGTTTTTTGTTTTTCTTTTTGTCACTCGTTTTTAGTATTTTATTATCAATTGCCTAGGTATAGTTTCCTTTGTGTTTATTCTCCTTGAGATTTAATGAGATCTTTTATTTTTTTTTTTTCTTCTCCCTTGGTCTTCTCTCATGTTGGACTGCGGTTACATGTATTTTTGACTAGTTGGTATTGTCCCACAGGCCACTTATGCTCTGTTCTTCTTCTTTTTTTTTTTTTTTTTCAGTTTTTGTTCTCTGTGGGCTTCAATTTGGATAGATTCTAATGCTTTTTCTTCAAGTTTACTTTTTCTTCAGCAATGCCTATTCTTTTATTACCTCATCTAGTATATTTATCATTTCAAATATTGCATTCCATCTCTAGAATTTATGTTTGGGCCTTAAAAATATTCCATTTATCATCTCATCATGATTATGCTTTTCTTTGAATATATGAAGCCTGTGTATCATCACTGTTTCAATGACCACGTCTGTCGTCTCTATCATTCTGAGCCTGTTTCTGTTGAATGCTCTTTCTTCTTGTATTAGTTTGCTAGGGCTACCATAGCAATATACCACAGACTGGTGGATTAAACAACAGCAATTTATTTTTTCATAGTTCTGGGGGCTGGAAGTTTAAGATCAAAATGCAGGCAGGACTGGTTTCCTGAGATCTCTCTCCTTGACTTGCAGATGGCTATGTTCTTGATGCCTCTTCAGGTGGCTTTTTCTCTGTGCATGCACTTCCCTGGTGTCTCTTTTTGTGTTCAAATTACTTCTTGTAAGTACACCATTCAGACTGGATTAGGGCCTACCCTAGTACCTTCATTTTAACTTAAATTGCCTCCTTAAAAGCCTTATCTCCAGATGCAGTCACATCCTGAATCACTGAGGGTTAGGACTTCAACATATGGGTTTTGGAGGGGCACACTTCAGCCCATAACACTCTTAGTTATAGTTCATACTTTCTTGCTTTTTGAATTCCTGGTACTTTTTTGTTGATTTCTGTACATTTTAAAGTTTAAATATTAGGTGCCAAATTTTGATTTATTTAATAGTGTTGGACTTGTTCTGACATGCAGTTAAGTTACTCGGGTTCAGTTTGATCCTTACAAGGCTCACTTTTAAGATTTGTTAGTGGAAGTTCAGAGCAGCCTTCAGTCCAAGGCTAATTTTACCAATATCCCCTCTACTCCTTGCAAATAAGGTGGTACATTTCTGAGAATACAACCCATTGCCCTGTATTTATAGGACTTTCTATTCTGGTGTGTGTGAATACAAATTATTTGCAGTCCTGTGTAAACTCTGGCAATTATTTGTCCTATTGATCTCTGATAGCTCTTTACTCACATTCATGAAGTTTCTTATCGTATATGAACTGATTATTAATCAAAGACTTGAGGATTCTCCGCTACGAATCTCCGAGGCGTCTTTCTGTGGATCTCCCTTCCCTTCCATATTCTGCTCCACAAGTTCCAGCTGTTTGGTCCTTAATGAACTCCGTTCTTTGTCTCCTCAGTGTAATCACCAATCTTTGCTGGAGTTTCCCCTGTCTGCTGCAGCCAGTAGATTGCCTCCAGGCAATAAGCAAAGAGGGTGACTGTGCTTAGCTTGTTTTCTTCCCTTTTCTCAGGGATCATAGTTCCATGCTACCTATTATTCAGTGTCCGAAAATACTTACTTCATCTATTTTGTTTGCTTTTTTCTAGATTTTTAATGTAAGAGGGTAGATCTACTCCCTATTACCCCATCATGGCTGCAAGTAAAATTATATTTTCACAGCTTTTAGTTTCATTTTTCAAGGTAAAAAGTTTTAATAACTTTTTTTTTCAGTATTTACTATTAATTTTTGGTACCAGTTTTAATGGATTCAATGTCTTTTGTTCAGCATGAGTTATTCTGAGATAATTAAGTCATACTGGATTTTCCCAAGATATGAGATGAAATATTAATCATTTTGACATCCTAGGAAGAATCAAATGCAAATCAAACTTGGGAAGAAGGTCAATTTGAAATATTATTTATTTCCTGGGATTTATTTAGTCTATTTGTTAGAGATACGTATTATTTAACTACTAAAATTTTATGTTAGAGAATAATAAAAACTGCTTGGAATTTGTTACCATTATTGCAGTGCATAAATAAAAAAGAACTAGATGAATATGTTTTTCGTTTTACTGTGAATATAAATTAACCACTTAAAATTATTATTTCAAATTGGTAATATCTTTTTTCTTTCCTTCCTTATTCATCACTGCTTTTGCAAATCCATGTAGGAATTTTAGATAACTATGTGTAAAGTGTCTAATAAAAGAAGAATGTACATTGTCCAGTGTGGACTGAACATCTATTCAGAGGTCACCTGTTTAGCAATTGACATCTATCAATTACTGCTCTTAATGAGGTTGCTGGTTTCACCGATGACAAGTCATGAAAAGACTAAGGCAAACTGATAAATCTCTGCCTGATAATAAGCATATTTGTGCTCATAGGTACATTCTTTGAATTATCCTAAATTCTAGAATGAAAAGTATGAGGTAAATAAAATATTTTCCTGGTTGACATTTATATTTGGAAATAATTAGAAAATTGTTTTCAATATGTAAAATAGCAAGAAATCAACTTTGTTAATACTTTAAACCATGCTCATAAAGCATACTTCTTGTCATGTTCTGCCTAATTTTGCACCTGATTTTCCATTTTCTCCGCTCTTGTTCTAGGAAAACAGTTGGTGTTTTCTGTTGTGGACCCAATTCACTATCTAAGACTCTTCATAAACTGAGAAACCAGAACAACTCATATGGGACGAGATTTGAATACAATAAAGAGTCTTTCAGCTGAAAACTTTTGCCATGAAGCAGGACTCTAAAGAAGGAATGAGTGCAATTTCTAAGACTTTGGAACTCAGCGGAATCAGACAGCTGTGTTATGCCAAAGAATAGTAAGGTTTTCTAATTTATGATTATTTAAAATGGAAATGTGAGAATCTGGCAAGATGACCGGTCACATTACATGTTTAATCTGGAAACCAAAGAGACCCTGAAGAATATTTGATGTGATGATTCACTTTTCAGTTCTCAAATTAAAAGAAAACTATTAGATGCACACTGTTGATTTTTATGGTGGATTCAAGAACCCCCTAGTGAGGAGCTGAACTTGCTCAGTCTAAGGCTGATTGTCGTGTTCCTCTTTAAATTGTTTTTGGTTGAACAAATGCAAGATTGAACAAAATTAAAAATTCATTGAAGCTCTAATTCCATTTTCTATGTTGTGTATAAATAGAGTAGCTTTAATTTGCAAGCACTCCAGGCAAATATATTAGATGTTTGAAAACACAGCACAAGACTCTGTATTTATACGGGTACTTTGTGTCAATATCTAATCGTCTCCACTACTTATGCTAATACCTCTATTTGATATCTGAAGACTATATGCTAACTGAACCTTCCTCAAACGTTGTTATAGTATCTATTTTTATATATTTTTTCTTTTTATTCCTCTCTCTAGGGAAATATGCCTTCCCTTAGCATGCATTAGACATAATGATTTAATAGGTTCCTTTCATCTTTATTTAAATCTATCACAATTGCATGGTAATGAAAATATTCCTACTATAAATTATAAAGGGATATATTATATATATACACATATACTGATAACTTTTTCCTTTTTTCAGCATTTTTGTCTCTGTTATTATTATTGTTTTTTTCCCAGGTAGGGTTTGTCTTAGGCTGTAGCCTCTAAGGATAGTTAGTTAATTTGCACTTTGAGAACAAAGGACATCATGTGTGTCAGTAGGGACTGAATATAAGATTTATCTCCTTTGTCACACATTGGTTTATGATGGAGATATTGAAAGTCTAGTCACATTCATGAACAGTAAAACCTGTATTTTACCTTTTAACTAAGAGGAAATATGATATTCTTATTCAAACTTAAGTTTAGAATCCAGAATATTACAGTTGCACTTTTTGGTATCCTGAGTTTCCATAGGGAACTATTGGGTTTAAAGTTACTGTTGGAACTACACTGTGTGATCTTATAAACTTATGTTCCCTGGCTATCATATTCTTGGCTCAGAACAATATTCCCCATTACTATCTTAAGAATTAAGGCATTCATGGCTCACACCTGTAATCCCGGCACTTTAGGAGGCCAAGGTGGGTGGATCACGAGGTCAGTGTTCAAGACCAGCCTGACCAAGTTGGTGAAACCCCATCACTACTAAAAATACAAAAATTAGGCGGGTGTGGTCGTGGGCGCCTATAATCCCAGCTACTCGGGAGACTGAGGCAGAGAATCGCTTGTACCCGGTGGGCAGAGGTTGCAGTGAGCCAAGATTGCACCACTGCGCTCCAGCCTGGGTGACAGAGCAAGATTCCATCTCAAAAAAAAAAAAAAAAAAAAAAAAAGAATTAAAACATTCATACAGTTAAGTGATTTTGTTTAGTAGTCAGCTATCAATTGCTATCAAATATAACACATTGCTGAAATCAGCAGTGTGACTTACCTTGCCATTGTTAAAATGTTACATGAAACATAACATTATAGATGCTAAGGCCTTTTTTTGCTATAATTCACCAATAGCAATCAAGCATGCTAACCCATACTGAATGATATTTACTTGTAGATATTTCTTCCTTTCCTTGAAATTCTCCTTTCTGTGGAAAGAAGATGAACCCCAAAAAGTGACAGGAAATGTGGAATGCTCATGCAGATTTAGCTCTGAAGGCATATTTAATAACTAGTATGTCTTGACAACAGTCTTTAGATTAAAAAGAATTTTCATGAAAACATTTAACAGAAAGAACTAGTGAAAAGAAACTTCGAGTTAGTCCAGGCTTAATGTGCAATACTGACTCTATACTGCTCATATGTTTATGTGATTATATTAACAGACCTAATTTCATTAAAACAGGTAGAAGATTTTTCAAAAGAAAGATGATGTTTCAAAGCTTGTCTGCCATTCTAGATGAGCCTCCTTGCTTATTTAAGTTCCAGTAGGTGTTCAAATGTTAAATGACAAACATAGGTCATCTTTGCTTCTGCAGGGCTTCATCTTGCATGTTTAAGAGAACTTTGTTTTATTTTTGAGGGATTATTTCTCTGGGGATCATTCTTATATTACAAGCCTTACATCACTAATTTTAGTAGCAATAAATGTTAAAATTGAAATGGTGTCCTTGAAATTTCTATAAGCTCACTATAACTTTGGAACTAATAAAGCAGCAACATTTGTTCACAAGATGATGCAAGTTTAGGAAACACACTCTGCTTGTCAGGAATTAGCATTTGCACCGGCCGTGGTGGCTCACACCTGTAATCCCAGCACTTTGGGAGGCCGAGGCAGGCAGATCGCTTGAGGTCAGGAGTTGAAGACCAACCTGGCCAACATGGTGAAACCCCATCTCTACTAAAAATACAAAAATTAGCCAGACATGGTGGTGGGTGCCTATAGTCCCAGCTACTCGGGAGGCTGAGGCACGAGAATCACTTGAACTGGGGAGGCAAGGCCGAGGTTGCAGTGAGCTGAGATTGTGCCACTGCACTCCAACCCTGCCCTGGCAACAGAGTGAGACTCTGTCTCAAAAAAAAAAAAAAAAAAAAAAAAAAAGGAATTAGCATTTGAGTGCACACTAGCATGAGAAGCCTTAGGAATCTGAGTTCTGGAACTATCAACGTTGTTGCAGGCTAATGGTGTGACTAAGTCAAATTACTTCTCATACATAGACTAAAATGTGTCATTTTATTAATTTTTGGATAGTGTATCCTTTTGAGAATCTGATTAAAATGTTTAGTATGACATACAGCACATCCCTACAATTTTGGGGAACCTACAAACACACTCCAGAAAGAAGCACACCTGTTTAAGAACCTCTAAACAAAATGGCTATTGCTATAGGTCTTTCTACTCATACACCTCTTTTCTTTTTCTGTCTTTTTTTTTTTTTTTCCTGAGACAGGGTCTTCCAGCCACACTGGCATGCAGTGATGTGATCTCAGTTCACTGCAACCTCCACCTCCTGAACTGAGGTGATCCTCCCATCTCAGCCTACCAAGTAACTGGGACTACAGGCACACGCCACCAATTTTTGTATTTTTAGTAGAGACAGGGGTTTCACAATGTTGACCAGGCTGGTCTCAAACTCCCGGGCTTAAGTGATTCTCCCACCTTGGCCTCTCAAAGTGCTGGGATTACAGGTGTGAGCCACCACGCCTGGCCCAAACTACCAATTTCTATAGGATTATACCAAGACATTTATTTTGTGGACAAGAGCATTCTCTTTATATGTTTCCAAACAGAGAATTCAATAGGACTTTCCATTGGTTTTTAATCTTGCTGTATCACCCTGATTTATGCAAGGGAAGGCTATAATTTTTAAATATAAATAATTCTAAAAAACTATGATTCATACACACACACTTGTACATATATACTACATAAATCCATACATATAGATAGATACAATTGGGACTTCATTTGCTTTTTTAAAAATTTCAAGTTAAAAGAGAAATGCTTGATAGTTCTTCATTCAGTGACGTTAAAATGCCAGTTGGGTGACTGTGGTAGTATAGGCATTTAAAACAACAGCATAAAAGCAATGTAGACAAGGAACAGGCTGAATCAATTTAATCTACACAGCCATGTGATTTATAAACCCACAAATCAGTGTTTACTTGGAGCATTCACAGCGGGTGATGGATTTAAATTATGAGCCGTTGTTAAAGAGATTCACTGGAGGCAATTGGACTGTTGTCATTAACAGATAATGCTAGTGATGAAGAATATTCATTATAAAAAAGAGAAGACATTTTAAGAAAAAAAGGTTTGTTTCTTAAGGATGGTTATACTAGACAAAAAGTGAGTTTTCTAAACAAACCAAGGGGAACATTTTTAAGTTGCTGTTCACTTTAAGAAGTTTCCTTTTCTTGTGCTAGCTATGACTTTTTCCATATACAGTTATATTGTTGAATATAAAATACTGAAGGTAGGAGTAGTCTTATTTTACGATTGGGAAAACTAAGGCCTAAAATTGCTACAAGTCATCTATTGAGTTTGTAGCAGACCTGAGACTGGAATTCAGTTATTTTTATTTATTTATTTATTTATTTATTTATTTATTTATTTATTTATGTATTTTGAGACAGAGTCTCGCAGTGTCGCCCAGGCTGGAGTGCAGTGGCGCGATGATCTCGGCTCACTGTAAGCTCCGCCTCCCAGGTCCACGCCATTCTCCTGCCTCAGCCTCCCGAGTAGCTGGGACTACAGGCTCCCACCAGCACGCCCGGCTAATTTTTTGTACTTTTTTTTAGTAGAGATGGGGTTTCACCGTGTTAGCCAGGATGGTCTCCATCTCCCGACCTTGTGATCCGCCCGTCTCGGCCTCCTAAAGTTCTGGGATTACTGGCGTCAGCCACTGTGCCCGTCCTGGAGTTCAATTTTTTTAATCTCTTCTATTGAAAGGCTCTTCACCTCCCCATGAAATCTTCATCTAATAAAAATATCTTGCGCTGTGAGTTTGAATCTCCCTGTTAAACCCTGTTTAGTGCCATGTGGAAAATATGATACTGAGTGTTAATTCCAGATTCTGATTCAGAAAACTATACTCTTCTTACGAATCTATCTTCTTATTCTAAATTTGTTAGTCTAGTATGTTTTGCCTATTAAAAACCATTTTCATATACCTGTTTTTAAGTATGATAATTGTGGTAAAGGGACTGTGTTCTCCAGAGTTTTGCATTGGAGAAATCTGTAATAGTGTAGTTTCTAGAAAATGCTAATAATATAATTTTAAATTCAAGTTGATAGATGAAAATCATAACTTCACCAGCTTTCTAACCACCCAGGAAAAACTGGTGTCAAAACAAATGACTATTGTTCACTACTCACATGACCATAACTCACTTTTTGCCCAGGAGAAAAGAGTCAGCATTTTGTAAACTAGTGAGACAGGAAATAAATGAAATCAAATGTACTGAGATTGGCATTTACTTCAGCCACCTCAGGACAATGAGAACTCACTGTTATTTCTCTTCTAAATATCCTCTCTATTGCGCTAACTTTATTGTTCTATTCTGTAAGACTCTTTATTCTATTCTATACTATTATATTCTTTATTCTCAAAGGACAGAATTGCAAAGACTAGCTAAACTAAGTTTTCTAAAGAGAAAAAGCAGAAAACATCTAATACTTAGGAAAGAGGGGTTTATTATAAGATAAGAGAAAAAAAGGCCATGTGGATCTTTTATAAAAATTAGCAGAAAGTTTAATGTTGCTTTAGAACGGAGACCAACAACCTGATGCAAAGTGTTAAAATTCACATTTTGGAACTAGGAAGGGCAAGAAATGTCTCATAGGAGGAATAAAAATTGTCAGGGAAAGCAAAATCATTTAACACATCAGGACATAATAATGTTTTTCCTTTTATAACTCAAAAGATGCTTAAATACATAGTAAACTGGCTATTTCTCTGGTTTGGAAGAATGTGAAAGAATGTGATGTTTGGCTAGATTTTAAGGAACTTTTCACATTTTCACTGACATTAGAATTTTAGCAAGAAACTTTATCTTAGATTAAAATTACATCTAGGTTCTTTAAGAAATAAAGCATTGACGAGCTGCTATTTGACCTAGAGAAGACCCCGACACTTAGATGAGAGCCAGCACTGCAAAATACTCTAATATACATAGCAATAAAGAAGGCCAGGATGCCATGCATTGCTTTAGTCACATACACAATGCATTAAAATTCTGTCATTGCAAGGTCATATTTCACAACCGTTATCCTTTCACCCAGGGAATGAAAACCTTCTTAACAATTGTAGACATTGAGATACACACATTGTCTCTGTTGTAACATAAAAGTATATATATTTACTTATAACAGCATATTCGCTTGAACCTAGTATCAATTTAGTATGACTATGTAATTCATTTTAGTGGTGAGAAATATCCACAGTGCATAAGATGGGAGCTTTGCTTACTTGCTTAAAAATTTACTGCAGCCAACACATTGGCTAAAGACAAAGCTGTTAAATTTTCTAGGTTTCTATCTGCAGCTGAACCTCAAAGGAATGTAAAATACCTTACCGCATGTATGTTAGAACATGACCTGGGACATACCCTACACTCTGTGATTGGATGTGCTGCACAGTTTATTCTTTAGGTTCCCAGGGACTAACAGGTTTAGGAAAATACAATCTCTTCAGTCAGTGTGGCATTTTTAATGGCAGAACTGGGTGCCCACCAGGTGCAATTACACCTTTATTTAAATATGACAATTATCTGCTTACCAAAAGGCGTTAGCAGAAGATTATCTTTTTTTTTTCTCTTTTCATTAAAATTTGTTTTAAGGCCGGGCACTGTGGCTCACGCCTGTAATCCCAGCACTTTGGGAGGCTGAGGCGGGCAGATCATCTGAGGTCAGGAGTTCGAGATCAGCCTGGCCAACATGGTGAAACCCCATCTCTACCAAAAATACAAAAATTAGCTTGGCATGGGGGCAGGCACCCGTAATCCCAGCTACTCGGGAGGCTGAGGCAAGAGAATCACTTGAACCTGGGAAGCGGAGGTTGCGGTGAGCCAAGCTTGGCCATTGCACTCCAGCCTGGGGGACAGGAGCAAGACTCGGTCTCAAAAATAAATAAATAAATAAATAATAAAAAAATTAAATTAGAGGTGGGAAAAGTAGAAATCACTTTAAAAATTAAGCATACAATTGGATGACATGCTGTTCTACCCTGAGAGAGTGCCAGTGTTACCATTCTATTCAGCCACATTCAATGGTTATGGAGTAAATAGGCTTCTGAGAGAGAAATCAGAAAATTTGGAGCCTTCATCCCTGAAATATATTAGACCACTCACATAAAAATGGGAATAATATCTACCAGGGTTGTAGTGTGGCAAAAATGTGGAAGAGGGAGGAGAAGTGTGGTGAAGAGAGAGATTTCCTAGGCAAATCTCCCTTAGTAGACTTTTGATGACAGAGTAAAAATCAAACACTGTTGTAAGAAAGTAAAACTCAGGCTTTTATGAGTTGCAGTCCATTGTGCCTGAAAGATTGATTATTTAATTTTATTTTCTGGGCGAGTAGAGAAACACACACAGCAAACCAGCACCACTGTCTGTCTTTGTTCTGCTCCCCACAAAGAAAGTCTTTTGTTAAATCTAGTATATGCTTTCTGAATTCCTCTTAGCTAGTTTTGGTCAGGCCCAATATGGCTAGAGATAATTGTATTGACTTATGAAAATTAAGTTAGGAATTGCAGAGGGTAGCATAAGTTATCCCACTTATTTAAGATTTAATGGAGGAAAATTTAGGTGTTTATGAGAGGTTCTACTGAATTAAATTCAAGACCTATGTCTTATCACTAGAAATCCTTCCATTTACAAAAAATGCAAGACGTTTTATCTGCTTTTTTTTTTTTTTTAGATGGGAATAAAGTAAATGTATAGCTGTTTACTCTTACTGGAGATATTTTACATTATGGGTTTTCATCAAATCTCATGTTATCTTGTATATTTTTATATTTAAATAATGTGTGTGTGCATGTGTGTATTTTTATGGTGGATTATAAAAAAAAACTCGAGTGAAAATGAAATTCTAGAATAATGCTTAGTAACACCCTCCAGCTTTCATAGCATTCAACAATTTCGGGTTTGCAGTTAGAGAAAGTGTAGTCCTCCCATCCAAGTGTGAGATGCTCAGCAATCCAGGTTTGGCATTTGATCCTTGTTATCTAGTTAAATGAAAGTGTGGCATTATACAGTGCTGAAGAGAAAGCACTAAATGAAATTCAATATTCGTAAATAATCGAAAATATGCATATATTTATATATAATTTTATTGCTATAAAGTCATAGCATGTATAAAGTCATAGTATGTAGGAAAACCTTTATTGCTTTAGAACATGACACAGTGCTTACAATTGAAACAAATAAAATTTGTTCAAACATACTTAAAATCTCTTTTCATTGGGAATTATGCACTTTTGGCAATAATAATCAAGAATTTTCTCTAGGATTTTGAGAAGAGCATAGTGTTGTTTTCATCCTAAAGAAGGATCAGTCTTACATGTGAAGATAATAAAAAAGTAGTATTTAAGAACTACTCCTTTGAAACACTTCGAAAGTGTTCTAATTTCCAAGCCACTCAATGCTTCTGTAATTTTCCTTACAGCAGGATATGTAATTGGGAATGATAGGATTCTGATATTTAAATTTAACATGCGGGGTTTGGGATTTTGGTTTTATTTTTGGTTTGTTTTTTCTTATTATTTTTAAATCTCATAATTGTGCCCAGTAAGATAGGAACATTAAATATTTATATAATTTTAAAATATTAAAAATATATATATTTGCACAGAAAATTAATAAAACATAGTATGTTCATTATGAAGTTTAAATGTTGAGCTTTTATGTTTGACCATTGAGGAGTCAATCTTACCTAAACATTGAGTATACAGTACATATTTACACACATGTAAAAACTCCTGCTTACAGATTTTTGTTTATTTTATCCAGCACATCATAATCTCCCTTTTTTGGAATCTTCAAATGACATAAAATAAAGAATAATAGTAGAGTTACTGTCAAGTGTGCCTAACATTTACCAAGGTGGGATATGAGCCATTTGCCATAAGCCCTGTCCTAGAGACCAGTGTTCTGATACCATCTGAAAACTACTTTTCCTGTCAGTAAAATGCATATCAGTCTTTTTTCTAAAAATGCTCTCTGAGAATCATTATAGCTTGTGTTTCTATGTTGACTTTGACTCTCAGTAGGATTGATAATTTTATAGTGGATAGGATGAGTAAAAATGCTTCAGTATATATGACTGTGGGCACCTTTAAAGGTCCTAAGATATGCCTAGGCTATACCAAGTTGAAATGCTTTCCTGCATCAGCAGCATGAACATATATTTGCTGGTTGGGCATGGTGGCTCACACCTGTAATCTCAGCACTTTGGGAGGCCGAAGTGGGTGGATCACCTGAAGTCAGGCATTCAAGACCAGCCTGGCTAACATGGTGAAACCCCATCTCTACTAAAAGTACAAAATTAGCCGGGCATGGTGGTTCACACTTGTAATCCTAGCTACTCGGGAGGCTGAGACAGGAGAATCACTTGAACCAGGCAGGTGGAGGTTGCAGTGAGCTGAGATTGTGCCATTGCACTCTGGCCTGGGCGACAAGACTGAAACTCCATCTGGGAAAAAAAAAAAAAAAAAGAAAGAAGAAAAGAAAAAAGAAAATATATTTGCTTCAGAATACAAGACATTATATTATTGATGTTTTTAAATATATGCTCTTTACATTAAATTATTAGCCATTGTTTTCTTTTAGAGTCATTTATGGATTAAATCAGATGCCACTGAGCTCTAACTTACAGAGCTTTTAGAAGTAGTGACTTGTTTTGTAGGGTTTAAGCAGGTTACTTCACTGTGGTACTGCATTTTTCTCAATCAATTCCTACCACATTGCAGTCTTTCGTGATTTATTTTCAAAGAGTCTGCTTTCCTGAGATGGTGTCTTGCCCCTTCTATTTTGCCAAGCTGTCATACATTCTGTAATGGTTATTTCAATAGGTCAAGTTCAAATGCATTTAAAAGGCAAGATTAGCAGTTATGTGCTTGCATTCGCTATGTGCACTATTTGCTTTGTGTCACAATGGGGTCATGAGTGCATGCTTTAATAGCACCAGTGTTGTAAAATTACTCATCAGCAGCAGCCAGCGAGAGAGTAACACAAAAGATAATTGGGGAAAAAATATTTGAAGGATGCACAAATCAGAGAGGCATTGATGCAAATCTCAATTCTGAAGACTAACAGTTTCTCTGAAATGTCTTCCCTTATTTGTATTGATTCACGTGTCAGGAATGTGTTTGCTAGGGCTGAAAAATATGAAAATATGTGACAGTAAAAGTTTCTCATCAGACTTTCTATTAGGCAAGAAAATCTCTGAGAAATCTTTACAAGTGGCTTGTGTTGCAGAGGCCAAGTTTGCAGCTTGCTGATAAATGTGTAATCAACTGGGAAATGTAAGCATACATGCCAGAATTGGCTTTGCATTTCAGATATAGACCCAAATATTGTGTGAAAAAATACACTTAGAGTAACTGCTAATTATGACAGATTCCAAATGCACATGCATTTTGACAAGGTGATTTCTGAAATTAAATTTGTGTTTTATTTTGATAAAAGACTTTAATGGAGGTTTTGACTGGTAAATAAACTCAGATTTCAAGATTTTTAAATAGCAGCCTCTGTGCCTTGGTTTTCTCTTACAGTGATCATAGGAAGTGGTTTGTTTAGTTATTTATTTTAAATATCTAATGGGACACTTGGGAAATATTGAGGGCATAGTTACCTTATACCTGTTTTCCAAAGCAGATTGAAACAAAATATCTAGTAATATATATTATGACCATGTGGGCATTGTTAAGCCTTGTCTTTTGGGGCAGTTACCCCTTCCCTTTAACCCTTACCTACCAGTAACAGGAAGAGTGCTTCAAATTAGGGCTAACAGACAGACAGAGCCCTGAGAGCCACAGCTATACCTTGAAGTTGTACTATGACTACATCTTTTGTTTTGTTTTCTAATATAAACTCTTTTCCTTACCTATTTCCTGGAACCTAACTTTAACCTTGAACCTTGTTTTTCCCTGTTGGTTAATAACCCAGCTACAGACTTTAAGACCCAAAGTTCGCTGCCACAATTGGCAAAAGCCTATTTGTTTGGGTTTTTGGATTAATCCAAGCTCTGAGTTTGTCTGTTTCCAATTCAGCGCTTGAATTAGCCTATTATCCTTGATTCTGAGTTTTTCTCTGCCCCAGGGCTCAGAGGAGTCATTGAGGCACTGGCCCTGCCCAGTCACAGCCCCTTCTGTGCCCATGGTTGCTATAGCTCCCTAACGTGCACAATGTGCTGCAGAACCCGGTGACTTTATGGTAGATAGAGGTTCTTTGTGTATGAAGTGATGTTTGAAGTGGAGTCAATTCTCATTATTTATGGTAGTTTTGTTCTATAAATTTGCCACACAGACTGAATTAGTGAATAGCAAACCATTACTCTCAGATAGGCTCCCGTGAACCTATGATCAAATTTCCGTCAACCTTTTAATATATAACCTTGTATATGTGTGATTCTTTTTAAAGACACCTTATTTAATATATATTGTTGATTAATTAACATTGAACTCATCCCTGGACAAAGTTTATCTAATATATATAATCCACAAGACAAGAAGATAGACTTTTTGTTTTATTCTGAAAAAAGACTTTAATGGGACGTCCCTAGGAACACTAAACAAAACTTCACTACACTTGGGGCTCAGCTGGGAATGTCAGCCTGGAGAGACAAATGTTTGGCTGCTCTGCTCATGGCTGCAAATAACCATGAAAGTGCAGCAGGTATTAATTTTGGGGGTCCCAAAAATTTTTAGCAAGCAGGTGATTTGCAAATATGGAATCTACATATAATGAGGCTTGACAGTATCTATTTTTTCTAGGTGTGGTAACTGGGAAGGAAGATTCTGCAACTTTTTATATCTTATTTTTTATTCTTCACTTACTGGTTTTGAACCAACTTCGGCATTTCTGTAGGAGACAGAGATGCTTTTCTATTTTGATTGGTCGGCCTTTCCTCTCGTCCCTTTCTTTCTTCTGCCTTCAAGAATAGGGAATAGAGAACAATAATTTGGACAGGGTGTGAAATTTTTATTGGTCACATTTATTAATAGCTATGATTCTTGTGTGTAAAGGATTACACATATATCTGTGTGCAGAAAAAAAGTTAATACACCAGGCCTGAGACTGATATCCTTTTTAGAAAAGTGTGCTTGCAAGCTTGTCTCTTGGCTGGCATTTGGGAACTTGAAATTTCAGGACAATTCTCATTACCCTAAATGATAACAATGACTGAATGTTACAAAACTTTCGTGCAAACAATAAGGTTTATACTGAACACCTGCTTTTTTTCTGGGACTCTGGAATTGTGATATGTGCTAGGCAAGATGCCTATGTGATGAACCTCCAATAAAAACCTTGGGCACTGAGTGTCTAAAAGAACTTCCTTTATAGACAACACTTCATGCAAGTCACAACTTGTTGCTGGAGGAATTAAGTGTATCCTGTGCGGCTCCACTGAAAAGGACTCTTGGAAGCTTGTGCCTGATTTCCCCTGGACTTCACCTCACACACTTTATCCCTTTGCTGATTTTGCTTTGTATTCTTTCATTGTAGTAAATCATAGCTGTGAGTAAAACTATACTGAGATCTTGAGTATCCTTAGAGGATTAGTAAACCTAGGTGATACTGGGCACCCCTGACACAATTTGCGTGCCTCTTAGTACCTTCATCTCTCATTGTCTTTTGTCCCTGGGAGAAAAGTGGATGCAGGACCTTATCCCATATTCTCATTCTCTCTTCCATTTCTTCTATGCCATACATATGCTAGACTGTCATTGAGGTTGCTGTCATCTTTGTTGTGCTTCTTTTCTCTCTTTGCCTTCCTTTCACAATTTGATAGACTAAGGGTGGTAAGTGCCCCAGATTTGGAGTCATTTTTTTCTAACCATTGAAAGTTTCACTTGAGACTATTGCTTAAGTCTTGTGCACCAACCTAGCTTTAGCAGAGAACCCCAAACTAAAGTTAGTCACTGACATCGCTGTTAATAGAACCTTCTCTCCCCTTTGCATATTGTTTATTGTATATTCCTCTGTCAGTTCCCTAACACAAAACAGAGGTGATTGGCAGGTCAGAGTTAAAACATTATAATATCACCAAAGCGCTAATATTCCTTGCTTTTTTCTCTGCTCATTTTTCTACTCAACCCATCTCCTCCCATCTTTTTCCAAAGTGGATTGTGGTAGATGTCATCTGTGTTGGTAGAATTAGCTTTTCCAAAGTCTTCTTTCTTCTCTTAGTAATCTTCCCTGCATTCTCCAATCTATCTCATTTCATTGAATCTCATAATTCCAACCTTAACCTAGACAACAAGTTATATTCCTAGGAAAAATAGAATATACCTCATCAGCTGTTCTTTATGATGGTTTTATATACTACCAGTGATGAGTTTTTCTTCCAGTGTTTATTTTTTTAAATTCAGAATAAACAGTTTACCTGAGACAGCAATTTTAAGGTCAATACATGACACAGTGATGCTGCTTCAATTGCTTGTCCAGGAGCTTTTAGGTTTCTGTCAAGATGATGGCTGATGATTTCTTTTGATTGACTTTATAGATTTATATCTTTCTGGACCTATTGAATTCCAGAACTGACCATATAATGTGGTGGTTACAATTTCTTCTGAGACAAAATCTCTAAAATGTAAAGTCATACTGCTGGAGTTAAAATCCTGCCTGCACCAATGTGAGCTCTGTTACCTTGGATGATGTTTTAAAAATGATTATCAGCTTTAGTTTTTTTATCTGTAGAATGAGGGTTACATGAGTCAATAAGCTGTAAGGTGTCTAGGGTCACAAAGTAAATTCTAAATGCTATTAATAATGATAATTTTACTAATTAGACAAAGATGAATTTGAAAGTCAAGGAAATAGTATGGATAGCACGAAGGATGAGGATGTAAAATCAGGAATGTATGATTAAAAGTCCTGGTCTCTCCTTTTTACTAGTTGTGTGACTTTGGGAAGTTCTCTGTTCTTCAAGTGTCCTCCTCATTAAAATTGAAATAATATACTCATGTCCGGTGTGTATGTGACAAGTATATGTCAATTATATAGTAATAGTGATTGAATTATGTCTAACATAGAAAAGATAGAAAGGCATCTATTATAATAATTATGAAAGAAATTGGGCCAACCTGAAGAAATAATGTAGTGAGCTATGGATAGTTTGTTATTTTTTCTATATTATGAACTTATTTATGAAAGTGTGTTTTTAAAATATTTTTCAGAAGTGATTACATTTTCATTATAATTTCATAGGTATTTATCAGCTTGCCTGTCACCTCCAGTAAGTGTGCATTTCTTCAAAGTAGTACATGGTTTTAGAGTCTTAATCATCTTTTCACCCCTGAGTTCTAGCAAAATTTCTGATTTTCAATAAGTTCTCAGTAACTGGTAAATTAAATGTAATTCTCATTGTGTTGTTATACCTAAAAGCCATGCCTAATAGGAAATATTGAGTATTGTTAGGGGTACTTAGAACCATAAAAAGAATCTTAATAGTTTTCCTTAAAATATTATAAAGAAAAACTAAATGGAAACAGTTAATTAAGTATATGATCAACGCATTACTTTTTAGTACTTAAAAATTAGGTAATAGTCTAGTTAGAGAAAAGACTAGTTATTAGTCTAGTTAGACAAAAAGGAAAACTTAGGGAAAAAACAATTTCAAGTTGAATGTGAATTTTGATTTTTCCTCTCTATTATTTATGTCACTAAGTCCTCTTAATTTTCTCATTTTGAGGTTTCTCACATCTGTCCTTTTCTCCTTCCATGGCCACCATCCTAGTTTTAGAGATAATTTAACACCAGCTAGTTAATTCATTTTCTAATATAGAGCAGCATTAAATTCAAGACTACTAACATTAGACTACTAGCAATAAAAAATGTTTTTTCCATGTGTACTTGTAAATGTTTTTAATAAAAATTTTAATATCTATAGCTCCTGGTCTTCTTTTTTACTTAATGTCTGTGTCTACACTCAAAATATTTTTAGGCATCAAGTAAGTATGTACCTTAATGAAGTTTTACAAGGTGCACACCCCGGTGACCTGTAGTTGTTTGACGGGCAGGAGAGCAGGGTTTCTTTTCTAGAAAAGCTACATTATTATCAAAGGACACAAACTTAAAATTCTCAACACACTTTTGGTGTTGGCCTTCAAACCTTGATTTAAGATACACCAGTCATTTGAATAACCAGAAAGATCAGTTTAAATGTACTTATTTCCTTGATTTTTCCTTGATGCTAATACCAGATACATATACACACATTAAACAATCACACACACCTGGCGGTAATCTCTACCAACACAGTATATTGGAAAATCTATGAACTTTGAGTTAAGCTGTAGGTTTGGATCTCAATTTCATAGTGGCAGCATGACTTTGGGCATGCTACTAAGCCTCTTAGCATATCAGTTTCTTTATCTTGCAAGTGACAATAATAATAAATTCACAAAATTTTAGTGATAATGCAATGAGATCAAATATGTAAAATACCCAGATCTTGACACATATTATAAAATCCTCCCTACGTATTAAGTCTATAAAATCTTTCATCTTTCATAACTCTTCTTCTATAGCCCTAAGCCAAATCTATCACATTTTTATAGCTTGGGAGTATAAATATTTTTTATATTTCTTCCTAGGCTGAAACCATCTTAAGGGCCAGAACTTCTTTCTAGCTACTTCTGTAGCCCCGCATATCTTAGCCTGGTGTTCTAATTTCAACTCATGTTTCATCCATTGATATCTGAAAATAATTTTTTTGAACCAAACTATTTTTATGAATTATTCCAGTATTGCCTATTATTAATAACTTTTCTTTATGATCTATCATGCTATGGAAGCTCTGATGGAAATGTTCACCATCTCCATCTTAGAACATTGTCTTTTAGAGTCACTGAAAGATTTATCACATCAAGATGCCTTCAACTTGTACTGAGGATTTTTCTATAAGTAGTTCCCACTTCTCAGTGTCACCATGTTTACCAGTTTGGGTTCTCTATTTCCTCTTAGTTGAAGTATTACCTAGTTTAATGCAACCTGGACTTCTTTCAGAGCTATCAGCAATCTTCACTTTTTGGAAGTCCTTGACATACTGAAGTGAGGGCTAGATCTTATTGTTTTTTAAGCATAAAATACGTTTATTCTGTTTTTACTTTTCTCTATTTGCTTAGATTTAATTTTTGATGAGTTTCACTTTCATTCTTCCATTTAATATTTATCCTATTCTTACTATGGACCAGACATTGGGAATCTAATTTCTCAAAATTAATGCAGAATTTATCTTCATGAAATTTATTATCTAGTGGAAACGGATTCATTGAATTTACTTGCCAAAGTACTGAAAGTAAGTTGCAGAATAGCATGAAATAAAACTGGAAAGGCAGGCAGGGGCTAAAACAGGAGGTTTTTGTTGAGGATTTGGAATTTAACTGGAGAGAAATATTAAGCTTCTGAAGTGTTATAAGCATCTTTTTAAATGGTCACTTTAATTGCTCTGTGGATTAGAAGAAGGCAAGTGGGGGAGTTAGAATTAAGTTAAGTGGCTATTGCAGTAGTTTCAACAACAGAAGATTATGACTTAGTCTAGAACTGAAATAGAGAGATGGCTGTGATGTGACAGTGAGGGCATGTTAGAATGAAGTAGAGACATGCCAAAGTCATTGCATATTGCAGGCAGAAATAGGACTACTGCAAATAGATTAGATGTGTGGGAAACTATATCACAGAAGACTTCCAAGTTTATTGTGTGAGAAATAACCTGGGTACAGGTGCCATTTATTAAGTTGTGGAAGTTTGGAAGAGAAAGTAATTTTTTTCAATAATTTTTAGGGGTACAAGTAGTTTTTGGTTACATGGATAAATTGTATAATGGTGAAGTCTGGGTTTTAAGTGTACCCCTCACCCAAACAGTATACATTATACCCAACAGGTAACTTTTTTATCCCTCACCCTGTTCCCATCCTCCCACCTTCTGAGTCTCAAATGTCCATTACACCACTCTATATGCCTTTGCATAGCATATGGCTTAGCTGTCATTTATTAGTGAGAGCATATGGTATTTGGTTCATTCCTGAGTTATTTCACTTAGAATAATAACCTCCATCCATGTTGCTACAAGAGACATGATTTCACTGAGAATTGATATTTAGGATGATAGTAAGAGTTCACTTTTAGATGTGTTCAGTTTTAATTCCTGTAAAATATTTAAGTAAATTTTAAAATAAGCAATTGGATATATCAATCAGAAGCTCTAAGATGAAGCTTGGACTAGAGATATAAGCTTGGGAGTCATCAACAATTCTGGAATTTTAGAAAAGAATACTTAAGCAGGAAGTAGAATGGCAAGATGACAGTAATAAGATCATCCCCATGTAGTGGATGCTCTGCTGTACTGAACAGATTGTTCCTGAAGGACCAAAGCATTCATTTCCCCCAGCTACTGTTAGTGTTGGCTGCTGATTGCTCATAGCTGAGTCCCTCTTCAAGAAGTGTGCTCACAGAAGGGAGTCTCTGGCCTGAGTCTCTTGCCTGGGGCAGCTCAAATGCAATGACTAGACAATGTGGGAAAACAAATACTGAAGCTCCTGGCTTTGACGTGGGGCAGTTCTAAAAGACCATCCCAACTTCAGATAGCTGTTGGATCACCTGAGACTTCTGGGGAACCTGAGGACTACTGGTGCCAAAAGTAGTCTTAGGAAGCATTCTCTGAAATAGGATTTTGCTGCTGGATAATCCACCAGTTAATTGGCAATGAAAACTCCAACACTAGTAGTAGTTGGAATACAGATAGCTCCTAGCATGACATAGTGGGCAATTGTTAAAAACTTTACCAGTATTAACTGGAATGGGCTTATAGAAGAATTGAATGCACCTGTAACTAAAGCATAATTTAGGGATTTGGGAAGTTCAAAGGAAGTGGCTCTTTTTGAGTGCTATTGATACATTGATGCTGAAAAACAACAATGAAAGTTTAGGGGTGACTAAAATGAATTGTGAACCCAAGGGATCTATAATTTAAGCTGCAATGTGGAGCTTAATCCATTGGAAAGTCTTTAAAAAAGGGTTTTGACCTTTCTTTGTCAAAGAAACTTTCACCTGTGCATTAGCTCATGTCCTTGAGGTTCTAGTTTCAGTCAGCTTATCTTCCCTTCCTGTTTGTTCTACAAAATTCAGACTGGTTTAGTCAACCCCTATAATTATGTGAGACAAATTTCTTATAAAAAGTTTATACATATGCTTATATGTATGTTTATATGTTTGTATATATATTCATATTTCTCCTAGCTGCAGAGCTCCCCATAGGGTGGGCTGAAGCCTCTACTACATTGCTTTTTCTCTTCCTTTCACTCCGTACTTCTCTTACGCCATTAGAGATATTAGTTCTGCAAGCATTTTTCCTTTTCTTCTTTTATTATTTCCTTTATTTGAATTTTTATTTATTTATAATCATGGAATAGAAGTGCAATTTTTGCTACATTGACATAGTTCATTGTGGTGAAGTCAGAGCCTTCAGTGCATTCATTACTGGAGCAATGTGCATTGTACCCACCAAGAAACCTGCCATTGTCCATCCTCCTCCCACTCCTCAACCCCGTGGATTCCTCATTGTCCATCATTCCAAACTCTGCGTCCATATGTACACATTATTTAGCTCCTACTTATGAGTGAGAACAAATTTTACAAACACTTTCTAAAAACCACCTGCATGCAAACATCTGCCTTAGAGAACCCAAACTAAAAAACCTTCAACATCTAGAGATAGAAGAGTTGAACCTTTTGGAAATGCCAAGAAGGAAAAAGCAGACAGGAAGAAAACACCTACAGGTGAGTTACTGCTCAGAAACCATAAGGAAAGAGTGTTTACGTAGAAGAGAGAATCAAGTTAAATGAGTACCAAAAATGTCATCTAATTTGTCAGTATAGACACCTTTGGTGACCATGGTAAGGAAAATGTCCATAGAGAGGCAGAACAGAAAACGAATTGAAGTGTGTTAAGTAGTCAGTAAAAGACATAGCAGTAAAGACCACAAATATAAACAGCCTTATAAGAAGTTTGGCTATAGAAAGAAATAGGGCAAAAGCTAAGTGGAAATTCAGCTTTTTTTTTATTTTGGCCTTTCTTGGTCAAAGAAACTCTCACCTGTGCATAACTTATTTTAGCTCATGTGCTATTAATGGAGAGTGACTTTTCTTTTTTAAGTTAAGCATATCTGAATGCTGAAGCATTAAGGACCCTACAGTATGGGAAGGGTTGAAGACACAGGGAAGAATGAGGAAAATTAGTGAAGCAAAAACTCAGGAATTTCAGAATGGTTGGGTTCCTGAGCTTACAAAGAGATGGGTGTTCCATAGGAAGGACACTTAATGGCAACAGTGAGTGATATGGTTTGGCTGTGTCCCCACCCAAATCTCACCTTGAATTGCCACGTGTTGTGGGAGGGACCAGTGGGAGGTAATTGAATCATGGGAGCAGGTCTTTCCCATCCTGTTCTCGTGGTAGTGAATAAGTCTCATGAGATCTGATGGCTTCATAAGGTGGAGTTTCCCTGCACGAATTCCCTCTCTTCCTGCCACCATCTATGTAAGATGTGATTTGTTCTCCTTGCTTTCCTCCAAGATTGTGAGGCCTTCCCAGCCACGTGCAGCTGTGAGTCCAATTAAACCTCTTTCTTTTGTAAGTTGCCAACTCTCAGGTATGTCTATATCAGCAGCGTGAAAATTGACTGATACAGTAGGGAATAAAAAGAAGATCAATAAAACAAAAATCTAGGAAATTTGTAGATTTTCTGGCAGAAAAAAATATTTAAAATCCCACATACCTTATTCATATAATTCAGAGTGTGTCTGTGTGTGTATGTATGTCTGTTACTATATCTATGTCTACATATCTGCACCAAAGCACTTTATATCTTTAAAATAAACTGGCAAAACAGTAGAATAACGAAAACCCTAATCAACTATTGTTTTCTCAATTGTTAAGGTGAAGTTCTTTTTCATGATTTTTTTATCTACATTGATCTATCTTCATCTAATCTGAATTTTTCTGATTTGGTTTATGCCAGGGGTCAGCAGACTTTTTCAATCAAAGGCAAGATAGTAAATACTGTAGGCTTTGGGCCATATGGTTGCTGTTGCAACTACTTAGCTCTACCATTGTAGCATTAAAACATCAATAGATGATATGTAATGTAAATGAATGAGTTTGGCTGTGTTTCAATAAAGCTTCATTTACAAAAACAACTGCCAGGCAGGATTTAGCCCATTAGCCATAGCTTGTCGGCACTTACCTTTGCTCATGTTATCATTTTGCTCAGATTATCGATCACCTCATCTACCTGGTGAACTTCTGGGAATACCATTCAATTATTAGCTTTTCTTTGAAACCTTCTACAGCTCCCCTGATGATATTGTACCCCTGCAATATTAATTATATTACTTCTATAAAACATGGAATATTCCTTTATGATGGTATTTATAATTTTGCAATGATGTGCTCATAGGCTTGTTTCTCAGAGTACTGTGATTTCACTGTGAATAGAGACTAAATCTTATTAACATTTGTACCTCTAGCAAAGTGCCAAGACAGAGTAGGTGTTCTATAAAGACTTGTTCCTTGAATGAATGAGTGAATGATTAAAAGTGAACCAACACTCTCTAGCTCAGAGGAGTTTATCCTGCTAGAGACAGTTGGCCAAGGATGTGCTTTAGGTTCAAGCCCAGTACCACATCATAGATGCTTTAATAGCCAACTTTTGTTTATGAGCTAGAAGTCTATGTACTTGCATGATTAATATTTCTAGTCCCCAAATGTTTCTCTGTCTTCAAAGTAAATTTATCATAATATCATTTTATTAAATAGGTACATTACTATTCATGGTTTGGCAAAATTATTATTGAAAAACAAAATGTGTGGTTATATTTTTATCTTTCCTTCTTAAAACAGGTAACATGTTGAGTTAACATACTCTATGAGAACTTGTGAAATAATAATGAATACTTATGCACTACTGTAAAGGCTTCAGATTTACTCTTCAGGACATGCTGAGGAAAGTACTATTATTTCATGCATTTTAACAATGATAAAACTGGGGCACACAGAGGTAAGATAACTCACACAAGGTTATGCAGCTAGTGAGAGATTGAACCAGGAATGAAATTCATAGAATCTGACTTGAGATGCCACATATGTTAAAAATTTTCTCATACCTTTAATGCACTTAATATCTCAGCCTATGCCATGTTAAATTCACATGAAGTTAAGGCTCTAACTTAAATAAGGCTCTTCAGTTCCCCTCAAAGATAACTGCAGCATGTCTTCTTTCTTCTAAGTTCTTTACCTTTTAATTTTCTCATTTATTCTTTCGATGTCCTTTATTTTAGACTCTTTTCTTTGCATTTTTAAGTCCACACAACCCTTTTCAAGAGCGCTGTGGCAGTCCATTAGAAAAGTTATGAAAAGTATTCATGTGCTTTGACCCAGAGAACCTACTCCTGGAAAATAACCTAAGATAAATAAAATGGTATATGAACCAAGATATGTATTACAATATTAAACAAAATGATGACAAAAGCTAAATCAAAACTGTTTAGTAGCAAGGAGTTGGTTATTACACTTCAACATAATTGAGTAAAATATAACAATTAAATTTATAATAAGAATCACCTAGGAATAACTAAACTCAAATCCAAGATAAATTACCTAAACTACTGAGCAGACATGTAAACTTGGGAAGGTGTTTACCCCATTTCAACCAATTTCCTCCTTTGACACTATGAATAGTACTTATTCTCATATTGGTAACATGTCGATTATTAAATGAGTTAACATACATGAAAGTGCCTAGCACAGTTATTTGAATATCACAACTACTGACTAAATTGTAACATCTTTGTTACTTATTTCTAATTGAAAAACTAGAAATCATAAGAATATGCCTTATAATCATGATTATGAAACATAAAAATTGGAAGATGAACATGAAGTCATAAGAATAATTTCTTACATTGCTATTAAGAAAAGAACTCATAAAACAATAAGATAAACATGAACAATATAGAATTTTGGCAAGCCTTTCTTTAAAAAAATACTTAAATTCTTCCCATATTGTTTTAAATAGCTGAATAGTTTGAAAGCTCTTGAGGTCTAAGTGGTTTCCATAGCCAATTTTAATTTTCATTACATTGTACAAAATGGCAAATGATTTTGAAAATAAGCAATAAAAAGTTTATTAGAAAACCAAAACTCTTTTCACATTTGCATTTCAGCAGCTTTCAGAAGGCATCTAATCAGAGGGGGAGTGGAACTTTGCTTTACTGACATGTCCTCCAAAACAAACTCACAATAGGTGGCCCCAGTTAGGCCCTTTTTATGATGACAAAGAAATCCCACAAAATCAAAGCCTACACTAACAAGGAAAAAGCTAAAAACATCCGCCACTAATGCCAGTTGTTAGCCTGCTGGAGACACTGGCTGAAATGACTTGTGCCAACTGCAGATGTAATTTCTACAGATGGAGAATTATATATTTGACTTGTTGGAAAGGTTGGATACTAAAAATCCTTTTTTTTTTTTTTTTTTTTTTTTTTTTTTTTTTTTTTTACAAAACACAGAAAGATTAAAGAAAGAGTAGCAGCTGCTTATTTCTCTTTTTTTTTTTCAACAGAATGTGGCTTATAATGTAGCAATGGAAAATAATCAGAGCAGAAGCATAAAATGAAGCAATTTGTAAAGGTCTCAGTAAAAAAGCCATAGAATATAATGTTGATTATAATTTAATGGAACTGTCAGTTTGAAATATCAGTCATGTAATTTCTATGCCATATTGAGAAAACCATGGAATTAAAGTGATGATGGTTTCATCATAGATGCTGCTTTTATACAAATAGACAACTCAAGTCTCTAGAGAAACAAAATGATGTTCTAGATTGAGGTGCAGTGATGGAGGGAATTGCTTGTGACAAAGGAAAAAAATGACTTTATATGGCTCCCTCTCAGTAACAATGACAATTTCTTAGGTGGACTTTTATTCAAAATGTGTTGCCAAAATGATTTAAACATACCACCCTGGACTAAAATCTTGCCTTCAAATCATTCCTAGATAAGTGACTCACACATAGTTGTTTTGCAGTGTCCACAACACCTTGGCCCCTGTTAGGTAAGCCAGACCCGCCCACACGTGTGATCTGTGACTAAAGGTGCCCCCAATCACCGTTATTCCTTCTTCAGAATCTTCTACAGACTATTGTGCAAATTTCTTTTCCCATTCCTTCTTGCTCTTCATTTAACTAGCTTCAATTCCCATCTACAATTGACTCTAATCCTCAGACACCATTGTTAATGATCTGCTTGAAATCTTTTTTGCTGGTTGTGTACTAAGTTGAGGATATACTCCCTGGTATTTATCGTTTCCTCCCACAGACTTCCACTGTGTCCATGTGTGCTACTCCCCACTTCTTGCCAGATTTTCCTACAGTCAGTATCAGAAATTAGACATGCTAGCTTAAGTCTGACAACTAATGAGAGTCAGAAGATGACTGCTGCTCTGCTACCAAGTTTAGTAACCGTTAGGAATTTCTGATGATTAATAAGATAACTTCAGAAATAACTGTAAATTTTTACTTATTGTAGATTTTAAAATTAACCAAAATGTGTGGTTAGGACATGTGTGTGGTTAGGACATGTGTAAAGTAGGATGATATTTGTCTCTCTTTGAAATCTAAAATGGTACGAAATAAAAAGTAATCATTTGAAAATTATGTGGTCTTGATTTTAGGTCAGCCTTATACAGATAAAGATGTTTCCAAGAGCTCAAATTTTTCAGCCAATTTATTTTTAAATGCATTTATAAACTATCAGAATGCTATGCTGCAGACCTTTTAGTAGTTATAGAATCTTGTGACTGAAAGGTACCTCATAAAAACCTGTGTGTCTTAACTACCTTCCCAGAGATGTAGGGCTCAGATGCCAGACCCAGAGAGGTTTCTAGGAGCCTGGATTGAGTAGGTCTGCCTTTAATATGCCACCAAGGGACAGAGAAAGTATGGTGTTCAAAGATGACACTGGAAACAAAAGTAGTCAAACTGAGATACTATTTGAAAATCCTAAGCAGACAAGCACAACTAGGTATAAGGAAACTGAAGAGACTGGGAAGACCTGGACAAAGTAAATTAATTTGGTTGGAGGCTGGAAGAAATAATGGTGAAGGCCGGGCGCGGTGGCTCACGCCTGTAATCCCAGCACTTTGGGAGGCCGAGGCGGGTGGATCATGAGGTCAGGAGATCGAGACCATCCTGGCTAACAAGGTGAAACCCCGTCTCTACTAAAAATACAAAAAATTAGCCGGGCGCGGTGGCGGGCGCCTGTAGTCCCAGCTACTCGGGAGGCTGAGGCAGGAGAATGGCGTGAACCCGGGAAGCGGAGCTTGCAGTGAGCCGAGATTGCGCCACTGCAGTCCGCAGTCCGGCCTGGGCGACAGAGCGAGACTCCGTCTCAAAAAAAAAAAAAAAAAAAAAAAAAAAAAAAAAGAAATAATGGTGAAAACCCCTGAAATAATGTGGAAGAGTAATAGATACTTTTAATAGAGCATGGTTAGCTTTGCTTTACAGTGGGGAGAGTTGGTAAGAACCCTGAGCCAATTTAAATAAATATAATATAGACAGACTGCTTAAATTTTCTCTATAGATTCCAAATCAAATTAGCCACCCAATCCAGTATGTGAAGACTTCCTGTGGTTACCACTTATTATTGTCCAAAGGTGTCCATTTTGATTTTGTAACTCGGAGTATTAAACAATGTTTCCCCTTATTGAACTAAAATGGGCCCACTATAACTTCTTCCTACTGGTCCTAGTCTTTTATGCTATGCATAGCCATAATACAAATGCAATATCAATTGTACTTTTTTTGGAAATCAATAGGGCCCCAAAATTTAAGTAGTAGGATTATCTGAACATTCTAATTTGAAATCTTAATAGGCAAGGAAAATGGAAATGAGTTATTTTACTAGAACTACAGAAAGGCTAATATTCAGATAATTGTTCAAACTTCAAATGTTTGATTGCATTTTAAACTTTCTCTAATAAGATACTTTTTAGAAGGTGAAAAGATGTTAATATAGTTATCATCATTAAAATATTTAATGGACACATCTTGAGACAGGCACTTAGACGCTGGGCCCTTGTTCTCAGTGACCTTAAAAAATATCGTCAGAGCTATGACAGGAAAGAGCTAAAGGTTGTTTTCTATTTGAAGTCCATAATGTATTTTGGAGCAGAAATGTAAAATATGGGGGAATATCATCCTTTCTGAAGAAAATAAAAATGTGTTTCTGAAGCCTAAAGGAGTCAGTTAATGTAGATTTCTCACTGTTTTATTAAAATAAAGAAGGGGCCAATAAAACATATATATATCTTTAAATAATCAGAAGGCAAAAATCAAAATTATTTCAATTTTTTAAAATAAGAAGAGCACTTTAATTCACATACAAGTAACAGTTCCTCATTACCAAATAGCGTCCTTTCCTTAGACATATGGGCTTAGGGGAAAATGTTAAAAGGGCTGAGTGAAAACAGCAAGACAAAGACAGGTGCGTTCTACCTGAGTTGGAAGAAGGCTATACTTTGTATTAGGTTACAATTTTGCAAATGGTCTTTACAGAAAAATATCAGCAGATATTCTCTGGGAACCTGGACATTACTTTGAGTTAGAGTGAGGTCAGGCTTTTTGGCCCTACTCTATTGCCTAAGCCTTTTATAAATGGCTCTGATACAAGCTGTGGTAATCCTCTTTCTCCATGAGGAGTGGCTGCTTTTCTTCAGGAAGCTGCTTTCTCTTGTGACGACACAGCAAGCTCACAAGCCCTGCCAGCAGGGCAGTGAGGACGGCCCCTACCATGGCCGCCCCAAGGAGCCATGACCAGATCCGACTTGCTTGTTCCAAATAGGACTTAATGTAGTCTTGAAAAGAGTCTGGGTCTGAAATAAAAAGACATCCCATTGTTTTTATTGTTACCACCATTGTTACGATCACCATCATCTTCATCCTTTCGCAGTCCTTTGGAGTAGACGCCTGGGTTTGAAGACCAGCTCTACTACTTATTAGCTGTAAGAGCTTGGGAAAGTTATACCTAATACTCCAAAGCCTCAGTTTCTTCACCAGAAAAATAGGAAAATAATACCCCCCTTGTTGGAACGTTTGAATTTTATAGATAACATCCGTAAGTGATTCAGAGCCTGGTATATAGTGTGTACTCAATTAAATGTTAGCTGTGATTTTTCCATCTTTTTCTGTAAAAGGTTGTTGTAACTATTCCAATTATCAATAGAACACTGTTATATCATTAACCATTCACTAATCCAGTCTTTAATTATTTGACAAACATTAATAGTAATGTTGGCAAATGCTCAGTAATCTTAGAAGCCTCCCAAGAACCCCAGGGCATTTGAACAATCTCTGTATTCACAGAGGTCACAGTCTTAAATCTTGAAACAGATTTTGGCGCATGGGCGCCGTCCCTCTGTCCTAAGGCTTCAGGGGTGGGGGGCGCTCTTGGTTACCCGGCCGCAGTGGCATAGGAGCGGGCCCTGTGCCGCGGTACCCTGGAGCGCCCGCACTCTGGGCCTTTGTTTCTCCTCGGAGGTGCACTCCCTGCTGGAGGGCAGGGGCCTGGCCTTTATAGGCCTCAGGACACTGAAAGTAAAGCCTGGAGGGGCGGGGCTTAGGGGAGCCGATATATGTAAGAATAATAGCCCTTTAGGTCTGCCAAAATCAAACAACAACAATCAAAACAAACAAAAAAACCCCAAAAGCCTTAAATGAAACTACAGTGCAAAAAATAAACATAAATATTTTAAAAAGGGAGGGAAAAAAACAGAATGAAAAGGGTAAAAAAGTCGAAGAGGCAGAGCCTGAAGAATTTGTGGAAAAACTACTGGATCCAATTATAGCAAAAGGGAAGGTGGAGCATTTCCTGAAGTGGAAGAGACGTCAGATGTTGACAGTACTTGGGAACCCGCAGAAAATTTAGATTGTCCAGAGTTAATTGAAACATTCCTTAATTCTCAAAAAGCTGGTAAAAAAAGAAAAAAGTACAAAAAGAAAGAAAGTCTTTATCTGACAATGAATCTAATGACAGCAAATCAAAGAAGACAAGAGATGCTGCCGACAAACCAAGAGGCTTCACCAGAGATCTTGATCCTGAAAGAATAATTGGTGCCACAGGCAGCAGTGGAGAATGGATGTTTCTCCTGAAATGGGAATATTCACATCAGGCCGACTTGGTGCTGGCAAAAGAGGCAAATATGAAGTGTCTTGAAATTGTAATTTTTTTTACAAAGAGAGACTAAGTTGGCATTCTTGTCCAGATGATGAAGCTTAATTGTTTGCATTGTGATATCTATCTATCTATCTATCTATCTATCTATCTATCATCTATATCTGTATATATATATATATATATATCTGTATATATATATATATATATCTGTATATATATATATAAAATCTGGGTCTTGGCTTTTAATTAACTAGTGTGGGAAAATAACTACATTCTAATGAAAATCAGTTTTTATATGTTAATTTTAAAAGTAGTATTGGGAGAGTTGGGTTTTTTTGGTGTGTGTGGTTTTTTTTTCATCAATACCACTGGTTACTTTGAACAAATAAAAGCTTTCTGTAGTTGCTTCCTTTATCATAAAAGAACATTTGATATCTTGTTATTTTATGCATGTATTCATAAAATGATGTATTATTTCCTCTGCATTAGAGAACAGCACTTCTAAATGTCGGGGAAAATTTCCATAGTCATTACTCAATCAGAACTTGCGTTTAGCCTAAGGACCATTCTGGGTTGTGTGTGTGTGTGTGTATGCCTAAAATGTGTACTTAAATGGCTTTTTGTGTTGTTTTTAAACATTCACCAAACAAAAATCACGGGTAAGCCCATGTTTTTGAGATGCCATCATTCTGAGCAACCTAAGAAATAAATCACATCAAATTAAATTCAAAATTTTCCTGAAGCCATACATTTCAAATAAAACAGATGATTCTATAATTAGTTGGACAATTTAAATGAATCATTTAATAGTAGCCATATAAGAATCCCTATCTACACCTTTAGTCATATAAATGAACAGTTTGTTTGCAAAATTCCTAAAAGGAATAATTTTATTACTACCAACAACCTCCCCAACCAGATGAGGGAACTAGACAGATCCCGCTCTGTTTTAATTATCTAAACAAGACTTAATTTAATGGACATTTAAAGATTCCTCTACCAGGCCATTCCTTTACAAAAAGTTGAAATCCCTGTGCTATACTGACTAAAAGGTAATGATTCATGGGATGTCGAAGACTTGGCTTTAGGAACCCAATCAGATGGTTGGAGATTTGGCAGTTTAGAATCTGCTGCCATAAATAGATGAACAACTTTTGTAATGTATTGACTTGCATATTTTTTCTTTACCTTAACTAATTCCTTACATGTAGACTCAGTCCTTTCAATATTTGATTTGCTGGTTCAGCAGAAACCAGGAAAAACAATAACTTGGTAGTAATCAGAATGTTATCCAATTGTATGTTGATTCCTTTATTGTAAATAAAGGTGAATAGTGGTCAATCATTTTACATTGCTTTAAAAAGCAACAACAGATTTTGACCACATATATTTTAACAATAATTCTGAACAAGGAAAAGTCTTTAGCCTCCTGATTATTTATATTCCTTCAAACCACATAAGAACATGGCATTGGGGAGAGACAGCATCCAATATGTTACTGGCTTAGCATTTCCTCTATTATCGTACCCATCACATTATATTCCAGTTATCTATTACATGAATTTTTTTTCTATTAAAATGGCTCATTGAAGGCCAATAGTATATTGTCATCATTGATATAATTCTAGAATCTGGTATAGTGTCTGAAACACATATGAGAGAATGAACATGTTTACTGAATGACTGAATGTGTTATTGGACTCAGAAGATATGGTGAAGGAATGTCCCTGAATGGCAGCTGTGGAATGAGAAGGGGAGACGTACACAAAAGGATGTCACCCAGGGAAAAAATTTATAAATTACTCATATTTCACTATGTTATGAGGTAGTAGTTACAGTTCCTTTTAAAATTTGGTATAAACAGTGATGGGTGCTTTAAAATGAAAAAAAAAAAAAAGAGTCTTAATTCCAATAGAAAAGTAATGTAGGAAAACAAATGTAATCATAGCATGCTATTTGGTTGAACTGTAAATAATATTGTAGTAGTAAAAACAATAAAATTCCTAGATGTGGATTTGCCCCCAAATATGATAATACTATACTGAGAAGATGAATGAAAGAACAGGGAAGCTGTAAGAGAGTTAAAATCATTATTTAAATATGAGGAACTCCAAAGATAAACTTGATGAATTAACAGAGAGTAATATTTCCCTATCATTTAGAAATACAGGGCAATATAGCAGAATAAATAGCTAAAAGGGTTACAGTAGCTGATATAGGGGCATAAACCTTTTGTTATAAGACTTGCAGCATTCTTTGGCTTGTAAAATAACATGCATATAATATTTGATAAAGCAAAATTAATTAAGAGATATGCTTAAAAACTTATGTGTATGTGGAAAAAAGTATAAGAAAAAGTACAATGGAGACTAAAACAGCACAAGTGATCAATCTAACAATAAGATTACAGGTGATTTTTATTTTTGGTTTATTCTATTAATTTTCCAAAATAAAAAAAAAAGTCTTTTTACTGATACAATTAGAAAGCATGCTACTAAAAGTACCTGATGCAATTAATAGATGATATAACTATATATTTAGGAAATCCATAATCAGATAATGCTTAGTAAAAAAATAAAATACTGCTAGATAAGGATTACATAAATTAAACTTCCCTGTACATCAACAATTAACCTATTGTTTCTATTAAAATGGCTCCTTGAAGGCCAATAGTATGCTTACATCATTGATTTAATTCTAGAATCTGGTACAGTGTCTGAAACACATATGAGAGAATGAACATGTTTACTGAATGACTGAATGTGTTATTGGACCCAGAAGATATGTTGAAGGAATGTCCCTGAATGGCAGCTGTGGAAATGGGAAGATTTGTTTTAATGAAAAACAAATCTCATTCACACAATCAACTACATATTTAAGGCATGTAACAGTTAAGGAGAGATGTTTAAATTTTATGTAACTATAACTATAGAATCTATTTAGGAGACTATAAGATTTGAGTAAATGAGGAAGTCTGTACTGAGTATCTGTTCAGTAAGAGCAAATGGCTTCTTTCTAACAAAACAATTCCTTTATAGAAGATGCTCTCTATAATGTATATAGAAGATATGTATGTAGAACATACACAGAAGATACTATAAATTTACTTTTTGACATAGCATAAAGAAGAGAGTGCATCCTGGGCTTACCTCGCAGCAAGTCATGCCTATGTGACTCAAGTCTAGAGCAAAAATGTATGTATAACTTTGGGGGAAGTTCCCTTAAAAAGAAAAAAGTATATCTTTGACCATTTACCTTTTCCTTTCTGACTAGCTAGAATACAGACAGGTTGTTGGCGAGCCATCATGGACTATATAATCCAGGGTAAACCCTAGACCTTGAAAATTACTGTTTTTAATATATATTAAAATTATTTTGAAAATGGGACTATAATACTTAGCTTAAATTGCTGTTAGTGGCTTCAATACATAGTACATTTAAAATGTCCAAAAAAAGGCAGGATACATAGAGGCTACATAATAAATATTTTCTTTTTTGTTAAAGGCTCAGCTGAAGTGCTTTCACAGCTTCTAAATACTATTTCTATGTCGGTCCTGTTCTCCAGCTTCTCTTACTATTGCTCCACTTCAATTCATTCCAAGTGGTCTCAATTTTTACTGTCACCAAGGGACTGTCCTTGAGACATTTTTATTTCTCAACATTCTTAAAATTCAGACTTTCTTTCTAAGCCATCTGTGTTTGAGCCCCAATAGTGCACCTTTTTCTTCTGTTCCAATGTCGTAATTTTTTGGTCATCTTTCCCTATGTGAAGTCCTATTTTTCTTGTCATCCATTCTTTTCAGAATAATTATGTAGATTTTTGTTTTATGCTCTATCATTTCCAAAGCGCATTAACATGCCCATTTATTCACAAAACAAACACATGAAGTAGTTAGTGGCCATTACTCTAATGAATTAGGAGTCTGCCTGGAGTGATTAAACTAGACAATGTATGTATAGCCCTTGGTACAATGTCTACCATATAGAAAACAATTTACAACTGCTGTTGATTCTTATCATGATAGAATGATAGTTTCATCAATATTTCAACTAAATCAGCTTACAATATGAGTTTTTCTTTCCAAACTTGCTTCAGCTGCTGACTCCTCAGCTCCATTCTCTTCTGGATTCTCAAACTAGTTTCTTTGCTGCCTTGTGATATTTGGCACAAATGTCCATTTATTATAATTATATCTATTTATATATGTCTTATTTTTCAAGCTTGTCACAAACTCTCAAGAGCAAGTATTATGTCTTACTTGTTTTATCTTTCTTCAATTCATTTATTAAAATACCACATATTCATTGAGATACACTACCTGTCGGCAGGGAGTTGGGGGGCACTCTGTCTCATTTACCTTTTCACCCTCAGCACCTGGCAGGTAAACAACTCATTTCGAGAGTAATGTTGTTCTGATGAAGATACAAAGGGATCATGGAGAAAAGACTTCCTACATCTCTGTGAAGTTAGGGAAGGCACCCCAGAAGACTGTCCCACTGAGTAAAAGAATGAATTAGACTCTGAGCATATAATGTTGATGGCAATCCATCCTAGGCAGAAAGGAACAGCATGCACACAGGTATACACAGCCAAACAGAGCTATTGAACAAATTCATGAATGATAGAAGTGTCATCAAATTCCATTGGCAGAATGGGACACTGCAGTTACTCTGAACAGTGTTTCCCCTTCTCATTTTTGAAACCAAATTTCCAGGTCTTTTGTAACGTATGGGAAGAAGGAAGCTCTCAACAGAGTTTTTCTGCTATGTAGAAAGTAAGATTACATTTATCAACAACATTGAGGACACAATCCTTCTTTGCCAAAGATTTTTGGCCTCCCCTTGTAAATTAGTTATACATATGAGAAAATCACCTGCTACTCAATTTTCTAAAGAATCACTAAATTCAATTATAAGAGAAAAAGTTTGATAAATGGCAGACATCAGCTGCCTTTTTACAGAAACCACTTAATTAATTATAAACATGAGTACCTGGTTGATGAATAATAATCCCCTTGAACAAAATTATATCAAGAAATTTTAAATAAATTTTTAGTAAGCTTAAAATTCAGCTATGAATAGAGATAAATTTTAAACTCCTTGAAAGTACAACAGAAGCAACAATATGGAAAAATTCATAAAATAGAAAATAGGCAATTGGTGTTACTTAGTTTAGCTGTTTTGTTTTGCTTTGTTTTTAGAGATGAGTCTTGCTGTGTTGCCCAAACTGGCCTCACACTCCTGGGCTTAAGAGAACCTCCTGCCTCAGCTTCCTAAGTATCTGCTGTTGCTTATTTTAAAGTCAAACTTCTCTAAAATTAACTTTGTAAATTCAAAGCTGTGTGAAAATTACTCTAAAGCATTTCAAATAAATTGTTTCTTTAAATTTAATTGGAAATAAATACCTTCAAGCCTCTAATATGACTCATTGAGCCTCTTCTCCCCTGGCTCATCCAGGAAATTTTGTTGCCTTTGTAGTAAAAAGTATCCATTTGGACACTAGGGAAGGAACAAAGAGGTGGAGCATATGTGTAGAAGACAATATAGGGGTTAAAGGGAGCTCTCTTCTCTGTGCAGTGATGGAGTGATGAAGTTTGGATTCAATATTTGACACTTACTAGCTTTGTAGTTTAAAATTAATCACTTTATCTTCCTGAGTCTCAATTTACTTACCTGTAAAACAGAATAAAAATCACCCTTCCATGGGTTTTAAAAATTAGCCGAGTCAATAATTTATATGCTGATGTCTCTCACATTCGGATCTGATGGCCAGACACTGTTTTTGAGTTTCAGGCCTGTGTATCCAACTTCCCAAGAGAAATTTACCTTGCCGTCCCATATAACTTCATTTCACTGTATAACAAAACCATAAGCTTTCCTCCATGTCTTTCTTTGCTCCTCTTGTTATTATATGAGTGAATTATACTACCATTCATCAGTTTCACAGGCCAGAAAGCATAAAGCCATTCCTAATCTCCTTCATCTGGTATATAAATAATTTTCCAAGTTCTGTAAATTTTGCCTTCAAAATAATATCAAATTAATGATGCTTTCTATCTCCCTTCCTGCCACCACCACTGCAACTTAAACTGCCTTTACCTCTTCCTCAGACTCTTATAATAGCATTTTCACTGCCTTTCTGCATGTGCTTTCCAACTACTAAAATTTTTCTGCATACTGAAGCTGCAATAATCTTTTGAAAATTCAAATTTGATTATAACCTGCTTAAAATTTATCAGTGGCTAGCATTATTCTAACAATATGGCCCAAATTCATAACCATGTCCTCTTTTTCAACTAGTTAATTCTACCTGTCATATTGATGTCATCTGAAATATCACTTCATTGACCCCTGGATTTAGACATATCTCTACATAAATGAGTTTTTAAGCAAGCAGTTAAGATCTTTCTCTTCCATTATAAACTTTGTGAAGATAGAGACTATGTTGTTTACCATTGTATCCATAGTATCTAAGGCAATGTCTTATTCAAAGTACTTATTGAATAAATGTGTGTGTAAAGAATAAACGACTCAGTACAGACACATAAAAAAAAAAAAACACCTGGCATGATAGAATACTTATAGTGTTTTAAAATATATATCCAAAAGTGACCTGAGTATTAAGAGGTGTGGCATTTTTCTAGAAAACTTCATTTATATTAGTTAAGAGAAATGACACTTCATGATAAATATCACTTGCACTCAAATTGATTTATTGATTTCAGTCCATACCAGATACAATGTGATGCTTAGAATGGAGAAGCTTGCAAGATAAATTCTGATCTTGGGGGTTTGGGGAAGAATAAAACCCAGGACAGATTCATACATAGAAAGAAATGCTATGTAACTATGAGAAAGGCGTGAGTAAACATCACTATAAGTATAAAATGATTTTTATATCTGAGAGTTTGACAAATGGAGAAGTAGAGTCAGAATTCAGGCAGAAACAATAGCATATTTAAAAGCATGAACCCATGAAAGTCTAGCATGTTTTGGAAATGGAAACAGATACTAAATCATAGAATCCTAAATGGAACATCTTTGAAAAATAGTTACCAATAAGCTCCCTTTTTTATGTACTGTGGTTTTCATAGAAGAAAGAGAAGACATGTTACTTGAGACTTACAGGAAGCCCCTCCTCTTACCACACCTCCACCCTTTGCAAATTTCTCTGTTCCTAGTGATCTTAAGATTTTCCAAAAACTGATCTTCTTTGTCAGCTGTGTTAGCATTTTGTCCATTGTCTACAGTCTTCCGATAAAGCAGAAAAGTTCAATTAAACCCATATCTTTTCAATTAATCATCCCTCAAAGGGCAGAACAAGGTTGATAACCTATAGACTCTCCTGTTAACCCTAAATTGTGTATGTACTATACCATATACTAGGTAAGTGGCCTGGGAAAATCAATTTATACTCTTTATGACTCTGTTTCCTCATCTATGAAAAAGAAAAAGAAACAATGATACCTACTTCATAGAGTAATTATGAAGATTTAAGGAAGTAATGCATAGGGCACATTGAGAAGAGTTCCTGGCTAATAAAAAATACTTAGTATGTGTTAACTGTTATAAACTGGGTCAACTTATTTTCTTTGTGTCCTTTTCCACTGTTCATCCTACTCAAATAGAATAATTCAGCATTTCATAAATATGCTGTACATTTTCCACCTCTACTGTTCTTGCTATTCTCTTTGCCTAGCATATCCCCTGCCCTTTTCTATCTGCTACCTGCTTACTCATTCTCAAGGCCTCGTTTTCTCTTTTTAGGTTGAATCCTTCAAAAGTCATGGCTTTCTCTTTAGCACTGCTGTGGGATTTTCTTTATGACTCTTTTACTGCACATAACACAGCCTGATGTTTTTTACTTCCTTGCACAATTGTCTTACTTCCACACTGGAGCTTCTTCAGGTATGAAACTATGGCAGTCATGTATCACTGAATTCGAGCACAAGAGTGAGAGGGTTGAGTTTCATTCATTTGTTTATTTTATTTATTTATGTATTTATGTGTCATTATCAATGAATACAATGAAACATCAATGCTTGTTAAATACCTCCTACCCACAAGCCACACTGTTTTTGATAATTAACCCTCATGTGTTAGGTGAATTACAGTGTGGTGAGATGAGGAGGACCTCCTGGAATTGAAATCTTGCTTCTCCACATTATTGGTGTTTGATTTTGAGAAAGTCACTTAAATTCTCTGGGTATCAGTGTCCTCACCTTTATCTTGGAAGAATAAAACTTACCTCCTATATGGTTTATTAATAATACATGTAAAGAATATGCATGTAGTGGACTTTCAGGTAGAAGGAAACACTACTATCTGTTCCTCATTTTGTCAAGAAGATACTGACATGGTTCTATGCAGGAAGATTATTTAGAGCCCAAATCTAATTCTAATCCTGGGGTTTTATATTGCTATCTTCATCATAGAGCAATAAACATTATAATAGCTATTATTATTAACTACACTTAAGTTCAAGATTTCTACAAATTTTCTTGGTAACCCTAGCAAGAAACTTCCAAAAATGATTCCAAAACTGCTGGATGTTTACCCTGTGTTACACTGTACTAGGTTCATTAATGTATCATTCTCAATAATTCTTTAGGGTGTTCTGGTCCCAGGATTTCAGGTGAATAAACTGAGATTCAGGGATGCAGAGCAAATTTCCCCAGGTCACATTACAGTCAGTTGATAGAGTCATTTCTCAAAACCTTTTTTTTTTCTTCTTCTGATTCGACTGCTCTTCCCATGGTTGCCATGACTATGACTTTAAAGATCTTCAGAATTTGACTCCTGTGATAATGAATTGGTAATAAATTAAGGATTATAAGGTACTTTCAGGATTTAAAGGGTTCAGGAATAACATTGTCGAAGCATAAAGTTTTGTGTTATCTCTAAATAAATTGGTAACACTAGATTCAGCATTTCCTCGGAAAGAAAGTAAACTTTACCTGAATCTTGTAGATAGCTATAGTCATAGCCCAGATCTTTGGATGAAATAAAGAAATCACCGTTTCTGTACAGTGGTATAAAAGGAACCATGTAGGATTCCCGGTTATGTCCAATGGGTGCATTGGCTTCCGGATAAACTTCTTGAAGAAGACGGTGCCTTCGGAGCCACTGCTCAAAAATACTGCAGAGGAAAGGGTTATTCAGACTAAGAAACATATTGTGTATAAAAGAAACATTTGAAAATTTTTTAAATAAAATAAGGCATATATTAAAATCTGGAGACATGGAAAGATGTTGAATATATTCTTTATACTTCAAAAATATTTCATAAAGTATCAGTTTATTCTTTCAGGCCTTGAAGTTCACTCATTTAAAATAAATATTGAGGCAAGCTTTGAAAAAATAATTCTTAGCAGGTGAATAAAACTTACACATTGCGTTTTGAACCTTCAGAATGCTGCAAAATAAAGGTAACTATTGGTTGAGTGACAATTGAGTCATAGTTGTAAATTAAATGTATTCCCAAAGAAAGACCAGAGAAAGAACATATAAAACTAAATTGGAAACAGTGCTGGAATTTGGTCATTTTTTTGGTTCTGGTGGGAGGCTTTCAATAATTTAAACATTCATGTTGTGATAGGTGAAGTGTGGGCTTAATGAGTCTTGATGGGAGACAGAGCTTACCTCCAATGACAATGGTTTAGATACTTAAACTTTGTTTCTCGGCTTTTTCTAAAGTTAGAGTATGACCATATGATAAATATTCTGCCAATCTGACATACTCATTCATGACTTCGAAACAGGAGATAGTGACACAAAGAAGCAGGGATAATCAGAAACCATCCTAGAAATGGGCAGTGGCAGTTGGTATAACAATATTCAGTTTTCAGGGTCAGCAAAGCCAGATGTACCAGCAAAGGAATCCATTGCCCAGCAAGTGCCCTGTGTTCTATAGCATGGTTTTGGCAGCTGTCTTAGCTGATGCCCTTCTTGCTTATTCTCACCTGTTTCTGAGCCTGCTGCTCCATGATTTTGTGAGCTACTCAATAGCCTCTCAGCAAATTCTTTTCCTACTTAAATCAGGCAGAGTTAGTTTCTGTTTCATGCAACTAAAAACTTTGACTGGAACAAAAACTAAAAAATTAAAGGATTGAAAAAAGTCCAGTAAGAATGGAGTAGAAACTCAAGTTGTAAGGTAGTTTATAGCGAGCCATTAACAATATGACAAAGAGAATGGCTTTGCATTATTGAGTCATATGACATAGAAGAAAGAACACAAGAGCTGGAGTTGGGGAACTCTTCTTGAAGCCTAGCTCTGTGTTTTCATCTGGCTGTATAACTCTAAGAAAATCACTGAACTTGGAGACTTAGCCTCCTCATCCTTAAATAAGAGTAATAATATATGTCCTACCTGTTTCCAATATGATAGTTTTTGTGAAAGTACTAAATAAGTAAGCTATCGTTACTTAGCTGTACATTTTAAGCTAGCAGGTCAAAGGTTGGTACATGGTAGAAAAGGTGGTATTGAAAAAGAAGTGATAAGGCTTCAAACAAAATGAATACAATTTTAGAAAACCATTTTCAACATTTTGAAGCACAATAACGAAGAGAACAAGGAAGCCAAGTGGAAGAAATGGTGTTGATTTTTTCCATGACAGAAAACAATTTTGTTTATTAGAGGATCTGAACTTGAAACACTACTTGTGGTCAAAGTTGGTTTTCAGTTGTGAATTTAGTGAAGAATTGGCAGTCCACTGATAAACACTAAAAATCTGGTCCATGCATACCAAATGCTTTCTAAATTAGTTCAGTTATTAAATGAATATTTACTGAGTATCTACTGTAGGTCAACTTACACAAAGAACTGTGTAAAAATACGAGTTCTATAGGTTGCGACAGGGAAGATTTGTAAAATTGTATCTGTTTGATCTTCTTTATTCTACAAAATGGGAATTATATTTATACCATGAAGGTAATGTAAGGATTAATTAAAATAACACAAAATACACAGTTAAGTGCTTGCCAAATAGTACATAAAAGCTATTATCTTTCTCACAGCTCCTCTCTTCTCTTCTTCCCCCTCCTAAGTATTATGACTATACTGGAAAAACTTTAAAATTGATGAGACATAACATATGCTGTATTAGAAATGCCAAAGCTTGTATATGTGAGCAGTGCCTTTAGTGATGGTTATTATTCTGATAGGCAAAAGTGAGAAATTAGAAGATTTAAGAAGATTAGTTTTTCTGTGCTTCAGTTTCCTCAACAGAAGAAATTAGAAACTGGCTTGACAATAAACCCCAAATTTTATTAAAGTCCTATGATTTTATAAACTAGTCCTTTTGTTTTAACTTTTATGGTTTTCTTCTTTTACAAAAGCAGTACTTGTTTGTTATGTAAAACAGAGAAAATACAAACAAAAAGGAGAAAAGAAAAAATCACATGTAATTGCTCTATGCTTTTGTTATATCTAGTTTTTAAAATATGCATCCACAACACTCTACATGTATTTTACCAAAAAAGGAAATCACATTTTAGATAATTTTTAGTAGACATTTTATTTGTACTAAACCATGCGTTTTCAATTGGTAAATTAATTTTTTAAAATGAGAAGGAGGCTGTCTGATAATCCCTCCACCACCCCTGTCAAATTTTGACTGATTTGGGAACAGCCTGATATACAGTGAGCCACTAAATAAAGGCTTGAGGCAAAAATTGTACCTTTTGTCAATCGAGAAAAATTACTTCTATAGTTCAATTTATAAATAATCTTGTTTCTGCCATGAAATAAAAATTCTTTACCTAAGTAGGACAAGGACATCAATTCTCAGCACCAAAAGATTTAATGGATGAAACCATTAATGTGCTCACCCACATCATCAACCTTTTCAAATGAAGGTATTAATCTTGATTAAGTTCTTCACCAGTGATTCTCAACTTCAGTTAATTTCACCAGACCATGAATAGAATAGCTCACATGGGAATATTAATGTTTAACTTAGATAATTACATTGACATTTGGGGAGGAGGGGGTAGTCATATTTTTAGCAAAACTTAATTTGAACTGAATCTAGATAGTTTTTCTGAAAATCTGAGGAACAGTGAAATTCACCACAGAAAAATTAGAAAAACATAAAGATGACCACAGATGGAAATATGGAAAGATGTGTTTTACAAATAAAAGCTGGCATGGGACCTCTGATTTCAGGTCAGACATGTAAAGACTCTGGTCACTCTTATCCTTAAAATAAGAAAATAATAGACAAATTCATAATCAACAAATTTTCTTGGACCCATGAGAAAATTGAAGTTGCGGGGCAAACTGCCATCCTCAAAAGTGGAGAGATGGGTTCATCCAGAGGAACATAGCTGAGATCTTCTTACCAGGGGCAGGAGCAGCTGGATTCCTAAAGTGGTAGGAACACTGAAACACTTCGATGAATGGCTGGAGACTGAGTCTAGACTAGTGATGATAGTGGGAAATTCCCGGGTGCTGCTGTCTTAAGGGAACTTCCACATGTTTGGGGCTTTACCTCCAGGAACTCCACCAGGTTTTTATGGTGAAGAACTCAGAAAGATACTCTCCTTACTCTGTTACAGGGAGGAGGAGAGTGACCATTGTGAAATATGCCCAGGACATTCTCCATATCCAAGCCCTATGATCCAGGGGAAATTGTTAGAGACTTATCCCAGTTTCAGGAAGAGAATTCCTTTCAGTCCAGCCTCTTTCAGTCTTCCTGTCTCACCTAAGAGGAAGTAAATATAAGCCACGGGGGTCAGAGTTTCAAGGAAATAAATAGAAATACTGCAACCAGGGAAGCATATAGAGGGGCAGAGGCAAAAGAAGAAAAAGCTGTATTGTGAAGCCCCAATGCACTGGCCTACTAAAGGACTAAGATTTAATTAAAATATTTTGAACACTCCCCTCTCTCATACTTTACCAGCATCCAACAAAGCTCCAGTATAACAACAGTGGATTACAGCTAAAAGAGCTGAAATACATAAGCTGTCTCTGAAGAAGACTATATAGGGGAACCCAAAACCAAGAATAGAGACAAAAACAAATACATTAGAGAAACTTGAGGCCTCTGATCTCAAAACTGTAACAACTAGGACAAACATTTAAACATTGTGCAACTCCTTGCCAGAGTAACATAAATTTGTACACTAAAAGCCCATTTACCTCAGTTTATCTTACCTGATAAAACATATGGCTTTTAATAAAAAATTACAAGGCATGGCAACAGAGAAGAAAAAAAATCTGAAGAGATAAAGCAATCATTAGAATCATTTATATCATATTAGATATGATATAAATTTTGGAACTATGAGACACGGAATCTGAAATAATTGTGAATAATATCAATTTGAAAAACCTATACATAATATAAAATTAACATATTAGAATAACATTTCTAATAAAAAAAGTAAATAATATGCAAAAAATCATGAATAATGTAAGCAGAAAGATGGAAACCCTAAGAAAAAATTGAAAGAAAGTCTAGAAATCAAAAACACTCCAGCAGTGTTGTATATATCACTAACATTGATATGGTCAAGAAAAGAATCAGTGAGCTTGAGGGTAGGTTAGTAGAAACTTCCCAAACTGAAATGCAAAGAGAAAGAATAAAAAATAATTAAGAATTATGGGATAATTTCCAAAAAATGTAACATATGCATAATTGGAATGCCAGAAGAAGGAAAAGTAGGCAGAACAGAAGAAATATTCTCCAATAAAGGGAACTGGGGTTCCTCGAAGAAACGGCAGGCTCTAGGGCTGGGGTAAGAAATATACAAGATGAATGTTGAGCATCTTTCAGTGCCATAAAGTAAGGATATGTTCAAAGAAACGACAACCACCCACAATGTTAGAGATATGTCAAAGGGACAGAGTAGTCAACTGAAATCACTCCTGAAGGCTAAAGCTGGAAGAGTTTGAGCCACAAAATAAAGTCTTATAAAATAAATATAGAGGAGTCTGTACAGATACAATCTATAAATATATAAATTAATAAATGGAGAGAAATACATAAATCTGTCATGTAAAAGAATTCAAATAATTATGTAAATACTCTGTCTTGAAGGTACTATATATAACTCCCCACTGACTAAGTATGGGATGCACACAGTGACTTCTTTTCGAAGAGTACAGTATCAAAACATGGTGAAATCGTTTAACAGTTTGAGAAACTTGACCAACACTACCTCTGCCCGGTGATCAAGGTTAACATTCACAATGGTAAGTTATGTTAATAGCATGGCCCTTTTGGGGTGATAGAGGTGTGATAATTGCTCTCTACCCATCATAAGGGTCATGGCCAACACTCCTATAACAAAAGACAGATTAACAAGAGAAAAGCATAATAAATTATTTAATCAAAGTTTTATATGACATGGGAGACTTCAGAAAAGAGAGCCAAAGACCCAGGGAAAATTATCTATTTTTATGCTTAAATCTTATGCTTATGGCCAGTGTTGCAGAAATTTGGGCAAAAGAGTATGATCTCATGGTAATAGACTGAGAGAAATAACCCAGTAAGCCCTGTCTGTTTGTATTCTTCTTGACCTCTCTGTGCAGCAGTCCCTCCTCCTACATATAGGGCAGGACCTTAGCAATGAATGTTTTATGGCCTACTATCAAACAACGTAGGTCAGAGTATTTCTTTATGGCCAGCTGCTATACAGAAAGGTGGGAGAAGATGATAGTAATAGTTTTAGGGTTTATGGCTTGTTTTGGAAAAGAAGGGTCTAGTTTTTATAATCTTGGGGAAGAGGGAGTTTAGTTTCTATGGTTTATTTCACAGGAGAAAGAGGGGCCAGAGACTTTGCTTCTGAGGAATTCCAATCTCCTTTACTTCAAAATACTCAGCATCCCAAGGCACCATACTTTGGGATACATTTTTGAGTCCCTATACACATTTGATATAATGTGAAGAGATTGGTGCTTTACCTCTATGGTTGTCCATCCCAAAACACATATCCCAGTTTAATCATGAGAAAAAAATCAGACAAATATCAACTGTGGGACATTTTACAAAATACCTGAGCAGCACTCCTCGATGTTGTGAAGGTCATCAAAAAACAAGGTAAGTCTTAAAAACTGTAATAGGCAAGAGGAACCTAAGGAGACAGGATGATTAAATGTAATGTAGTATCTTGGGTAGGATCCTGAAGCAGAAGAAGATATTAGGTAACTACTAAGTAATCTAAATAAAGTAAAGTATTGACTGTGGTTGATAATAATTGTATCAGCATGGTTCCTTAATGTTGACCAATGTTCCATACCAAGGGAAGATGTTAATAATAGGGGAATTGGGTATGGAAAATGTTGGAACTCTCCATTCTATCTTTGCAACATTTTTACAAATAAAATAGTTATAAAATAAATATTTATTTAAAAAAAGAACAAACAAGGAAGCCTTAAGATAGTTGGATATTTGGGAACTGATTTGTTGTAACACATCTACCACCACGATGACCACACACACAAAAAAGTTACATACACACATATAATAGAAGACCTTTTTATTTATGTATTCATTCATATATTTCAAAATAAATGAATATATTTTAAACATCTATAATAAACTGGCTCTGTGCCCAGCATTGGTGAAGTTTTCTGCCCTATAGTATTTGGAGTCTAGTGGTGGAGATAGACACTAACTAGCAATTTCAGAAATCAACCTATAGTTATGGACTGGCAAATATGGAAGCATGTAATATGGTAACAGGATTTAATGGGGAAGCCTCATCCTGTCTGTGGCCTGAGGAAAAGTCTTTGATGGTGCATCCTTCAAGAGTTGAAGAATGACTGTTTAGAGAAATGGTAGAAGAATATTTCTGAAGGATAGAATGGAATTTGGAAAGAATCATTGATCGGAAGTATGCGACAAATTCAAGGACCTAAAAATTGACCAATATGTCTATAGGGATCAAGGAGCAAATAGCTCCAGATGAGTCTAGGAAGGTGAACTGAGGCCAAATCATGCAGGGTAGCAGAGGCCATGTTAGGGAGATTTGTGTTTTTTTCCTAAGAGTGGTAGAAAGTAACTATTTGTATCTTGGATGGTGAATGATAACATGAACAGATTATCATTTGTAAAAGACCACACAGATTTCATTGTAGAGAAGGGACTGAGGAAGAATAGGAGTTGGTGGATATGCAGGCATCAAGGGGGATAAAGAAATCGGTGAGAAAATTTATGTCCAGGAAAAAAGATGATGTCCGGAAATCCAAGCAGTTCAACTGAGGGACCAGGTACCACAGAAAATGCCCAGTTTTCTGGCTTATGCTACTGAGAAAAGTGTTTGTATTACCAGATACAGAAATCCTTGAAGAAGTGGAATATTAGGGGAGGATGTTGATGTCATGATTCTAGATGTACTGTGCTGCAAGATGTTTTTGAGACATTTCAGTGGGGATGTCAGGTCATTTGCTAGATATCTGGGTCTGGATTTCAGAGTAAGATTAACTTTGGAAACACAAATTGAGAAGTCACCAACCTCTAGCTAATAATTGAAGCCATGGGAATAATGAGATAATGAAAATACAAGAGAATCTGGAGTTATTTTTCTTGGATATCATCTTTCTGAAAGGCCAGGACAGATGACGTGACAATCATACTCTCTTTGAGAACTGCAGCTTGAGATGCCTCCAGCCACTCAAATTTCTAGTCACTCAAAATTTATTGAATTGCAGTTGTACAATAGCAAGGCCAGTGCATTCCTATATTTTTTATTCTTTTTTTATTATTTATTTCTTCACGTAGTACTTGTTTTGAAGTAGTTACTTGTTAAAACAAACTTGTAATTTTTAAATGATAATAAACATTTCCATTTAAAATTAATCCAGTAAAACTCTCTAAGCCTCAGTGTGCTCATTTATAGAAAGGGGATGGTACTATTTATTTTAATGTATTTATGAGAACAAAAATAAAATAAGGAAGTGAAATGTCAAGTAACAATAGTTAAGGATAAAATGAGACAATATAAATGATTGGCTTAGTTCTGAAAAAGCAGTAATTTGTTTTCTTCCCTTCCAAACCCCTCATTTTACAGAGGCAAAATAAAATTTGAATCCAAAGGTCACAGTTAACGGTACAACCAATATTGGAATCAAGGGGTCTTGGCTATCACTCTGTTACTAATAATAGTAAATACCCTGTTCTCTGTATGTTTACATAGGATGACAGGAGTGTTTCTGCAGTTGCAAGTATGCACATGCGTCTACCAAAGTCTGATGTGTAGATTTTCTCTCTCGGAAGACGTTCTGCTTGACCTTCATCTAGAAATGTAAGCTGTTTATCCAACAGACACCTGCATTAATTAGCATTAAACACCTTAAGTGTTCCTTTTCTCAGAGGACCCAGGACTCACACACTTTATACTCAAGGAGCAGCAATGAATACATTACAAGATCAGGAAAGGATATGTATTAGCATAAGAAATACAACGAAGGAGATAATGTGAAATCATACTTTAAAAAAAAAGGCAGAGAGAGAGAAAGTAGTGAACAAAGTTGGTAAGGGACTGAGTTAAGATGAGAACCCAGTTCTTCTCCTTCTTTCTCTGACACTTTAGTGTTCCCTATCTAGGTTTCTGTTCTCTCCTTCCTTTCTCTCCATGAGGAGGTTTCTGTTACTTTCTGACTAAGCTTTAAGCGATGCAGATGGAGGAGAATTTGTCAACAGGGTGGGAAAGGTACAGAAAACAGATGCTAGATTGTCCGTTAAACATGCTCCTTATTTCAGAAATTCAGGATCACAATCACTCCTTTTTCTTTCACCGTGAGGGAGCCAATCCAAATAGAGGCAGAGGCATTGTTTTCAAAGCAGGCACAAGTACATTGGAGGAATATCAATGCTGCCAACTAGCTGAAGAACAACAGCTTTTTATCTTTTGTTTTCTCAGTGCCTTGCACACAGATTATGTGCCAACTATCTACCCAATAATCTTGAGTTTATAATCTAACCCAGATGACAAAGTTAGCAATAAAGCAATTTCTATAATATAAACTCTTAATATATTGTTAAATCAAGTTTAGCTGAAAGTTGTCTCCTACATATTTTAAGTTCAGCCTAAAGGTTTCTCTCTACATTGTGAACTATAAACTAAATGGAGTTGTAAACAGACTATAGTCTATTCTTGTGCCAATCACCGAGTTTTGTCTAATCAAAGGTGGCCAGCTGTTCAAACCATGTTCAAATAAGTCAAACACCAAACTATAACCAATCTGACTGTTTCTGTCCCCCACTTCCATTTTCTTAATGTTATTTTTCTTTTTCTGTACATTAATCTTCTTCCACCATGTGGCTGTGCTAGAGAATCTGAGCCCACTCTAGCTCAGGAAGCTACCTGGTTCATAAATTGTTCTTTGCTCAATTAAACTCTTTTAAATTTAAGTTGGCTGAAGTTTTCCTTTGAACAATATCTTGCTTAATATTTTATTGATTCCATTTTACAGAAAAAAAAAATTGAGTCAAAGAGTTTGCCAATAGTAACTCAACTAGAAAGCAGTAGAAGATCTCGGGTTCCATTTTAGATTCCTGTGACTTTTATTATAACACCCAGCTGGCAGAGCTAGGACCAGAATCAAGGTGCTCTGTTCCAAGTTTAATGCTTTTCCACTAACATGCAAGAAATTAGTAATTAGGAATTAAAACAGAAAGGTGGACAAGGCTTTCATGTTTTGTTCCAAGCATTAGCAGGCCTTTCAAAGCTATACACAGAAGTGAGAACTAGGCATCTTCTGATTTCACCTTATGTGACAAAATTTGATTACAAAATCTCTCAGAGTATGTAAGAAAGGGTGACGGCACAGTTGTGAAACACTAGTAACAGTAGTCTAAAGACAGATGATTTATCCTTGTAGAATTGAAACCCTTTTTTATTCACAGGCTATGAGGAGCCAAAGACCAGCACTGGCTTAGTAGGGTATGAGGCGGCAACAGATAAGTAGGTCAAAGAGGATGCCATGAACATGAGATTCTGGATCTGGGCCTAGATGTATCCATGATGACTAACTTAGAATACCCTCCTGAGGAGGGCCACAGAATACTTGGGAGGTGACTTTAAGAGTGCTGAAAGGGACCTAAATAGCTCACATTCACAAGAGGCAGTGAAAGTGAGGGGAATTGGGGAAAGCAGTACAATATATCTTGTTATGAACATAGGAAGAACCTGCCAGATGAACATACAAGACGGGAAAGTCCAATTTCCACAAGCACAAAGGCTTATACAAGGCATCCTAACTTTGGCCTTGGGATGTGGGAGCAAGAAGAGAAGTCAGAAATACAAAACCTCCTCCTAAGAAAACTTGTTTCAAATTCCTGTTATTGATTTTTGTGAGGAGAGAGAAGATAATCTCTGGAAGTCTCAGTTTACCCATCTGTAAAATGTGGATAATAACAAACTTCAAAGAGCTGTAAGACATAAATGAGATCAGGTACACTAAGGACAGTGCTTAACGTGCAGGGAGGTTAGTTGTGGCCATTATACTTGCACAGAGCAGAAATCATTAGTTCTACAGCTTAATACAGGAGCCAATTTAATTTCCTTAGAAAAGACATTTTAAATATTTGCTATTTGGTCTCTCATCCAAGTACTAACCAGACTAGACCCTGCTTTGCTGTCAAGAAATTGGTACGCCTATGGTATAGACATAGGCAAATTTTTGCTATTTGTGAATTATGGTGTACCACAAATGAAAGAGTTGTCCTAAAAATTAATTCAATAGGTCTATCAATTTTATTTCTTATTTTAAAATATAAAAAGAGAATCATACAGTCTAAAGGTTAGCCTCACAGATTCTGGAGCTAGATGATTGTGATACTTAATAATTCTGCAAACTGGGGCAAGCTACTTAACTTCATGTGCTCCACTCTTCTTTTCAGTGAAGTGGGGATTATAACATATGAGCTAAACTGTGTCTCTGTAAAATTCAAATGTTTAAGCCCTAACTCCTAATACTTCAGAATCTTACTTTATTTGGAGATAAGATCTTTAAAGAGATAATTAAGTTGAAATGAAGACATTAGTAGGCCAGAATCCAATATGAATGAAGTCCTTAGAAGAAGAGGAAATTTGAGCATGGGCAGGGACAGAGAGGAGACTATGTGAAAACACAGGAAAAAGATGGCCATTTACAAGTCAAGGGAAGAAGCCTTAAAAGAAACCAACCCTGGTGACACTTTGATCTCAGACTTTAATTTTCCAGAATTGTGAGAAAAAAAAAATTCTGTTGTTCAAGCTACCCAGTCTGTGGCACAGGTATACCACATTTTATTGCAATTCAATTTATTGCTCTATGCAGATATTACATTGTTTACCAATTGAAGGTTTGTGGCAACCCCACATTGTAGAAGTCTCTCAGTGACATTTTTCCAACAGCATGTTTTCGTGTCATGTCTCTGTAACAGTTTGGTAATTCTCACAATATTTCAAACTTTTGCAATATTACTAAATCTCTTATTATGATCTGTGATCAGTGATTTTTTATGTCACTCTTGTAATTGTTTTGGGGTGCCACAAACCACATCCATATAAGATGGTGAAGTTTTGTGTATGTTCTGACTGCTCCACCTGCCAGCCATCCTCCTTCCCTCACGTCTCCATCACCAACAGTCCTCCTCCCTCTCTTCAGGCCTCCCCATTCTCTGGCACATAGCAATATTGAAATTAGGTCAATTAATAACCCTGCAGTGGCCTATAAATGTTCAATTGAAAGGAAGAGTCACTTTAAATCAAGAGGTAGGAATAATTACCTAGAGGTAGGAATAATATTAGATAAATATTAGAGGTAAGAATAATAATGAGGAAAGCATGTCCAAAGCCAACATAGCTAGGCCTTTTATGTGAAATACAGTCAAGCTGTAAATGCAAAAGAAAAATTCTTGAAGGAAATTAAAAGTGCTACTCCAGTGAACACATAAATGATAAGAAAGTGAAACAGCCTTATTGCCGATATGGAGAAAGTTTTAGTGGTTTGGATAGAAGATCAAACCAGCTACAAACTTCCCTTAAGCTAAAGCCTAATCCAGAGCAAGGCCGCAGCTCTCTTCAATTTTATGAGTCCTGAGAGCAGTGAGGAAGTTGAAGAAGAAAAGTTTGAATCTGGCAGTTGTTCAAGAGATTTAAGAAAAGAGCCCATCTTCATAAAATAAAAGTGCCAGGTGAAGCAATAAGTTCTGATGGAAAAGCTGCAGAAAATTAACCAGAAGATCTTGCTAAGATAATAGATGAAAGCCATTACACTAAACAAACAATTTTCAAGGTAGACAAATTGCCTTCTATTGGAAGATGCCATCTAGGGCTTTCTTAGCTAGAAAGAACTCAATGACTGGCTTTAAAGCTTCAAAGGATAGGCTAACTCTTGTTAGGAGCTAATGCAGCTGGTGAGTTTAAGTTGAAGCCAGTACTTATTTAGTTGAAGCCATTCCAAAAGTCCAAAGGCCATCAAAAACACTACATTTACTCTGCCTCTTCTCTGTAAATAGAACAATGTTTAGATGACAGCACATCTGTTTATACCATGATTTACTGAATATTTCAAGTCCACTGTTGAGACCTACTCCTTCAAAAAAAACAAAAGATTTCTGCATATTGACAAGGTCACCCAAGAGCTCTGATGGAGATACACAAGGAGATGAATATTGCTTTCATTCCTGCCTACACAACATCCATTTGGCAGCCCATGGATTAAGGAATAGTTTTGACTTTCAATTGCTATTATTTAAGAAATACATGCCATAAGGGTATAGCCGAGATACAGTGATTCCTCTGATAAATTTGAGCAAAATGAATAGAAAACCTTTTGGAAGGGATTAACTATTTAGATACAATTAAGAACATTAATTTTCATGGGAGGTGGCCAAAATATCAATATTAATAGAGTGTGGAAGAAGTTGAATCCAAACCACAGGGCTGACTTTGAGGGGATTCAAGACTTCCGGGATAAAGTTACTGCAAATGTGGGGGAAGTTGCAAGAGAACTGGAGTACAAGTAGAGCCTGAAGATGGAAACAAATTATTCAATCCCATAATAAAATTTGAATGAATGAGGGGTTGCATCTTATGGATGAGCAAAGAAAATGGTTTCTTGAGATGAAACTTATTTCTGGTGAAGATGCTCTGAACACTGTTGAACTGACAACAAAGTATTTAGAATATTCTATAAACTTATCTAATAAAGCACCAGCAGGGTTTGAGAGGATTGACTCCATATTTGCAAGAAGTTCTACTGTCGGCAAAATGCTGTCAAACAGCATCACATGCTACAAGAATATATTTTTTGAAAGGAAGAGTCAATCAATGTAGCAAACTCTATTTTTTTCTTGTTTTAAGAAATTGTTGCATCCACTCCAAACTTCAGCAGCCATCACCCTGATCGGTCAGCAACCATCAACCTGCTAGATCTACCAGAGGTCTGACCTACCAGAAAAAAGATCACAACTTGCTGAAGGTTCAGAATATTCTTAGCATTTTTCAGGATAAAGTATTTTTAACATAAGGTATGTACATTTTATTCTTAGGCATAATGTTATTGCACCATAAATATACTACAATATAGTGTAAATATAACTTTTTATATGCACTGGGAAATCAAAATATTAACGTGACTAATTTTATTAGAATGTTTGTTTTATTGTGGTGGTCTGAAGTCAAACCTTCCATATCTTAGAGTTATGCTTGCACTGTATTATGGAAGCCCTAATAAACCAATAGGTAATGGTACTTACTACCAGGGATCGCTTTTAGCATTAGCTGAATTAATGTACGTAAAATCAATTAGAGTAACGTGTAGCATAGAGTAAGTATTGATGTTATTATAATTGTTATTAAAATTATAAACAACACTTTGTTTTGGGATTTTTCTTCCTTAGGGGTTCTTTAAACTTTAATATTCTCCTACATATTTTGCCCCTTTAAGATTAGCTCAATGGCTACATCTATGAAAACTTTTAAGAGTTGACATTTTCCTCCTTTGATTATCACAGTTGTCATATCGCATTGCAGTTATTTGATCATGTGTAATTTTTTGCCTATATGGGAAATTCTCTGAAAGCAATGATATTGCCTTATTGGTCATTATATGTCCTGTGTCCATTACAGTGCCTGCCAGTTAAAAACAATATGAATTCAACCAGGAGATTGAATTCATATTATTTATAAAGTGTCATAAACCTTACATAAAATACATAGGAATTGTATATTTTTTCCCTAGAGAGTCCAAAATTTTTTCAAATTGTTCAAGATTAAATTATTTAAGATTAAATTCTTTAAATTATTCAAATTATTTAAACATTTTATGAATCACTAATTTAGTGTTTAGATATCAGAACTTGGAGAATAAAGGATCTAAGAAATGTCGATGACTTTGGGTTGAATCTTGGTAGATTGTACCATTCACTAATCCCCATCAGTTAGGACAGTGCCTGGCATGTAATAAGCATTGCACCGAGTGCTGGAAATAGAAAGCCAAATGAGGAAATGTGCTTGTCTTACAAAGAGCTAAAGTCTGGTCAATAATTCAGCACAGTACAGTGTGAATGCCAACAGAGAAGGGCCCTTCATGCCTTGGGAAAAAAGAGAAAGAGGAGTTAGTATCCGCTTGGATGAGGATTGAGTGGTGTCGGTCAAGGTGCCCCTTTGGTGACACTTGAACTTAAGTTTTAGAAAATGAATAGCAGAGATCTAGGCAAAGTAATAAGAGGGAAAAAAGCACTCTAGGAGGAGTAAAGCACAAGCATGAAGGAACAGAAGTATGCTTCTGGGACCCTGCAAGTAGATCAGATGGATTGAAAGGAAGGATATTATGTGGATATCTGTAGGTATATGTGGTTTAACACCGATACTGTAGGTTTGCATGAAAGGTAATTAGTCAATATTAGTTTAAAAGCTGTGAGGAGCCATTGGAGGATTTTAAGCCATGCAGTCACATAATCGTGCCTAGTTACTGTATAATTCAATGGACCAACAGCTGAGTTTGGGAGCTCAAAGGGAGCAACACGGTAGTAGATAGACAACCTACTTTTACTGGGAAAAACTTGGAGCATCTATCTGGGTTTGAAATAATAGCATCCCAGGAGCTCTATTTCCTCCTGATTCCTGGCTAATGATGAAACACATTTGAGGAGTATCTGGAAATTTTCACTGAAAAACAGCCCCTTTAAGAGAACTCCACACTTTAAGAGTAGAGATTGTCAAGAATAAATAGCTTCAAATGAAAATCCTGTTACGCAGCTAAGAAATTCAACTGTGGCCAATCTCAATTAACTACAATTTTAAGTATATAGTCTAGAAGTTCTTAACTTAGTTGAAAAAAGCAGAAACAAACCCTTGGGGAATCAGTAAGGCAGTTAAAATCAGATTAAAATACTTAAACTAATGATGAAACTTGGAGGAACTTAGTATAAGAACCTAAATAATTAAAAGTTTAAGAAAGAAAGGCAGTTTCAGTGTTTTTTTTTTCTCTCCTTTTCCAAAAAACATTTAAGTATATCATTAAGTAGCAGGCACCCTGCTATGAACAATTCAATGTGTGCACCCAGGATTGAGAGACACTGCATTAGGCAGAAATTGCACTCAAAAAAAATGAGCCAGGCCACAGTAGTCAAGATGAATCTAGAAAATGTCTCCTAACAGACCTCCAGACAATGCTGGGTGTAAATGGGAGGTCTGCTATTCTCTTGGCTTTCAATAGGAATTACTGATGGGCCTTCAAAGCCTCACCCCTCTTACCGGTGAAGTGGTGATAACAAAACTTACCTTACTCCCTTCACTGAGTTGTCCATTTATTTATTCAATAAATATTCTATCATGTTAAGAATCATGACATGTCAAGCTCCAGTGATGTAGAAGCATAGTCCCTATCTTCATTGATCTCCCTCCATGTTGTGATAAACGCATACATAAAGTGTTAAGGCAATGTAAATGATGCTCTTAAAGATGTGTATAAAGCCTATGGGATTACAGCAGGAGCAGCTAACCAGATGGGGAAACGAGAAAGTGGTATTTAAATTGGATGAGTAAATTATGGGAAAGGTACCACACAGAATGTGTAGACTGACAGGGACCCTGGGCACTGATGTAATTGAAAAATAAAAGTGATCTGGTGTGGGATGCAATGTAGAGCAGTGCGGGATCAACAAGAAGTGAGCCCAGAAAGGTGGAGGTGGTTTACACTGTGAAAGGCCTTATGCATATCAGGGTGGGGAGTCTGGGCTTGATCCCAAGGGTTAATTTGAACCTAAGTGCTTTAGATAAGAAGTAACCATTCCTGGATTTTAATTTTAGAACTATGATTATAATGGATATGTGTATTATATTAAATTATAATAAATCAAAATATAATACTTCTGTTTAGTGGAGATCATAGTATGCCAGGGGAGCAATAGTGACTAAGACAACTTCTACATATGACAAATAGCTATTACTTTTCTTAAGATGGCTATGCTGCCTCTCATTCTTCCAAAATTTCTCTTCATTTAACATAAATTATTGTCCTACTATTCTTCTCTAGAGTGATGCTTCTGAGGCTCTTAGAATAATAAAAAATGACTGATTGCTTCAGTAATAATTTCAATTTATTGGATGACAGTCATGCATCCAGTGCTATGCTGAGAATTTTGATATATATATATATCATATTTATTTCTCCAACAAAACTGCAAGAAATGTAGCATGGTAGCAGTAGTGAGAGTTAGCTCATATACCACTGTATGCCAGGTATTATTCAAAGCACTTCACACACAGGAACTCATTTGAACCTCAGAATAACCCTATGAGATATGTTATATTTGTATTTTACAGATGAGAAAACTGGAGGACAAAAGGGACATAAAACTTGCCTAAGGTTACACAGCCGGTAAGTGTGAAGTGGCAGAATCAACATTTGAAACCTGCAGTCTGAATATGATAAGTGTTCTTAGCCTTAATGAGGTATTTGTACAAAAGTACTCCCATTAAAATACATATAAAAAAAGGCAAACAAACAAAAAGTGAGGGTTTATGCAACTTCCCTCTATTTAGTTAGTAAATGGAGTAGTAGGAATCAAACCTGAGTCTTTTGTACTTGGCACTTTTCAGGACACCAAGTGCTTCCAATTGTGTATTCTGCATACACACACACACACACACACATACACACAGTAAGCCTATATGACTTGCCCATTTTCTAAGTTAATCAGGAAAAAGAAAAACATTGAAAAAGATCTTTGAGTAGAAAACTATGTGACATTTCACATTAGAAATAAAAACTTCATCTGTTCACTGCTATGTCCATAGAAAAGAGAATCGTGCCTGTACACAGTTGATAATAAATATTTGATAAGTAACTATCCCAGAGGGTTTTCAGAATGTATCCCCTGGGAATGAGGAGAATATATTATATGTTTCTTCAAAACATATATTCAGAAAATAGATACAAACGAACTATTACCTACGGGCAAGTACAGGAAATGTATGTAGTAAAATGGGAGATGAAAAGCTTCAGAAAGCAGAGTCCTTCCCTTAAGGAATTTTCAGGGAAGAAAGCCACTTAAACCATTTATATCTATTTATCTCTTTTTATATCTTTAATCATTTATATGATTTTTATATCTTCAGTCAAAGACCAAGAACCTGTATCTGATGGAGAAAGGTGTCTTTAAGTGCTATAAAGTAAAACTCATTATTCAAGGTAATAACAGTTAAGTAAGTTCAAAGTGAGCATATGTAGTACAGGCACACTTTCACATACCCAACACTCTTGTCATAGCAGACAATACTTTCTGGTTTCCAACCTCCTCACTGAAATATTCCCAGTACTATATCCCTAAGCCCTAAGCAACAACTTTTTTTTTTTTTTTTTTTTTTTAGAGTTTTTCAGTTTTATTCTTCTAGAGCACAATTTTCCGGCCTGTTACTGAGTACGGTCTTCTAACAGGTACACAATTAACTCATAAGTAGACAACACAATGGCAGTATTTGGGATCCGCCGGATAAGCTGGGCAAACAGTCCTCTATAAAAGGCGAGGTAGCCTTCTTCCTGGAACACCAGGCGCGCCGTCTGGACAAAAGACTTGTACTTGGTGCCCTCTTCCCGGAGCCTCGTCCTTATAACTTCGTGTGGATAAGCAATGCAGGAGGCACAGCCCTTAGAAAGAGCAGCAGCTGCCATAAGTCCAAAAAAACTTGTGGAATTTTTCTCAGTCCCATTTGCAGAAGAGGCTAATGGAGCTTCTTTCAGATACTTCTTTAAACTTTCATAAATAGCAAAGCAGATTATAGTTTCGGAAATTCCAGCATACGAGGCAGTTAATCCTCTATAGAAGCCACGAATGCCTTCGGTCTGGTAAACGTAACGAGCACACTGGAGTGTATTCACCTGCTTAAAGCCCCTCACTTTCTGTTCTAGCTGCATTCGGGTTTTAACCATCCATATAGGATTCATTAAGGAATTTGTGATAAAAGCTGCAGAGCCAGCTGAGAAAATATGCACAATATTGCTGTTAGGCACGAAAATGCCATTAAATTGCTCTTTGGCTTTGGAGTAACATGCAAAGTATACAGCCCTTGATGGTGCAACTCCAACCAAATTTGGACCCAAGCCTCTAAAAAGTGACTTTGGTCCCTCTTTCTCCAAGATCGACTTCAGAACCTGAAAGAGTCCAGGTGTCACGGATGTTGGTCTCACCATTCCAGCTCCACTAATGGTCCCCAGATGAACCTGAGGATAGTAGACTGTCCGGAGAGCTAATCTTAAAGACTGCAACCGTGTCTTAATGACTTCTAGTGGACAAGTGAAAATAGCACCAACTGTGCCTCCACACCCGCCGGCGAAGAGGTGAAGCAGCGTGTTCTCCTTCTGCTGGCCGCCCGTCGCCATGGCCGCGCCGGCTCCGCGGCCCGTCGCCGCCCGGTGGCGAGAGCGCGTGGCGGCTCGAGGGATGCGCGGAGGTCGCCGGGTCTTGTCTCCACGCTGCCCTCAGGGGGCTGCCGGCAACGCCTCCATGCGCGCGCGGGCTCCAACGCCCGGCTCTGCTCAGCCCGCGCCTTCCGCGGCGTGGCCGCCCGCGCCTCACCGGCCTCTGCGGCGCGAGCCCGGCGGGGGCAGCATCAACTTTCATGTGACATTAATAGCCTTACTGCTCTCCCCCAACTGTGGTAGATTTCAGTTGATTCTGAGAATTACAGTGGAAAAGTTTATCATATATCTACTATCTGTACAGATATAGAACTCTTTTATTTTGAATGACAAGTCTTTCCCCCGACAAGAGGATATCATTCCTATTGTGCATAAGGCCCTTCAGACACAAACTCTAACACTTGTAGCCTCCCCAGTAATTGACATGGTTTGGTAGGAATCCAGAGGAATTATTCTTTATGTAATAATCTACATGATAATCTTCATGTAATAACCTACATGATAATCTGCATATGAACAGGCAAGGTTTCCACCTCTGCTTCAGAAAATGAGAAAAATGAATGCTTAGTTTGGTGCTTATAAACTAAAACAATAGTAGAAAAGTGGGCAGCAAGAACAAAATAGCAAAAATCTATGGGTATCAGCCCAAAGTATTTGAATTTATTCTGTATGTAATATATATGCAGTGGAAGACTATTGCCCTTTGAAGAGTGGAATTGTGTGAAAAAATAGTGCATAGAAAGAATTATATGGAGGTGTTACGCAGATTGGATTTTGTTGTCGTTGTTGTTGTTGGAGGGATTAGAGGCAGAGGACCAATACATATGATGGGGCTAAGTACCTATGGCCCATACTAAATGTAAGAAAAATCAGAGGTCATATCTGTAGATAAGACAAGAAAGCAAAGAAGGTAAAAAATATGTGAACACAGAGATGCCATCTAAAAGAAGCAAAATTCTCTATGAATTATCTATGAACTCAAATGCTTCTTTCCAAAGAACAGCAAATATTCTATGCATGACTAAGAGTATTTATGGTTTACAATTATAGAAATATACAGAACACCAATACACAAATAATTTATGCAATAATAACACTAATATCATTGGCAATTTAGATAAGAAAAAGCATGATGTGTTAAAGTCTAGCTTAATGAACAAAGAAGATAATGTAAAACATTCTTCAGAGAGCAAATTCAACTGAAGCTGACAACCTGAAATCTTAATCACAACCAATGATCTGGACTGCTGGAAAAAGGAGCCCAAGAAAAGATCGATCAAATACTAAAAAACAGACTATTTTCTTTGCATTTTGCCCAAAAATAGTAGTTAGATATCCACCCATGTACTTACCATTTATTTCCTTCTCCAGCCAAAATTTTTATTTACATAATATTTCTTAGTTTTTTTCCTTTTCTACTCTTCTAATCCTCTATTCCAATTGGAAAAATTGACAAACTAAAGTATGTCTTAAAAAAGCTAGTGATTGAGCATCATTCGATCTGGAGTTAAAAATATTAATTGCCACTTTCAAGAAAGGAAAAACTGATTATTTTATTTTTATTAAATCTCCACTGTGGAAACGGAGATAACATGGAGGAAAGGATTCCTGTTTCTTCTGCTAACAAACAATTTGTGGAAGAGTGAGAGACTAGTGAAACCCCCTCTGAGAACAAACAAATAACAGAGAGTAGAACATCAAAGGAGAAAACTCAGAAACATCTCAAGAAGACTCCAGCATATAAACCAAATGGACTTGTGATAGTGAAAATTTTGAAATTTCTATTAAAATCCCAAGTTGATTACTTATTATCTATTTTCTCCAAGTGATTAGTAGTAAAATTCATGAAATGAGAAAGGCCCAGTTAAGAAAAATCAAGGGTAATAGGAGCTATGAAGACATATGTCACTCCACAGCCAAGTGGTGAGGGCAGAGGACTTCTGAGGGGTGGAGTGGTTGTGACAACTCTTATCAGCAAGCTCCTCTTTGGGCCCGTCTGACAAAGCTTATCCTTTTATCAAAGGTCGAAGGAGTAAACTCCTTGTTTGAAGGCATTTCCCTACCCACTTATATATCCTTGGACAGTGAGAATCATTGTTTTTATCTCCCATATCCCTGAGTTCTTATGATTTGCTTATTTACTTTTAAAAGCATCAGTGAGGGTCCGATTTATCATTTTTTGTTGTTGTGCCCAAAACATTTGAGAATCTGTAGTTGTTTAGAAGTTGTTATTAGGTATACTCATTGAAAAAATATGAGCTTCTCAGAGGCCTGATTACCTAATGGGCTTAGACTCAAAACTGATGTAACTGTCAATAAGGCTTAAAAGAATTAAGTATGCACTAAATACGTAGATAGCATTTACTGAGAAGAAAAGGAAAAGTGAACAGATTTCCTTGAAGGAGTGGAAGAGAAATGGCACTTAAGAAAAGCAGTTTTCCTTACAAAGGAGAGAGGAGAGTTCTTAGATATATAAATAACATATTAGACACTTCACAAATATTAGGGCTTGAAAGAACACTGCTCATCCATGTCCCTGCAAAGGACATGATCTCCTTTTGTTTTTTTTGTTTTGTTTTGTTTGGCTGCACAGTATTCCACGGTGTATGTGTACCACATTTTCTTTATTCAGTCTATCATTGATGAACATTTAGGTTGATTCCATGTCTTTGCTATTGTAAATAGTGCTACAATGAACATACGCATGCATGTTTCTTTATAATAGAATGATTTATATTTCTTTGGGTATATACTCAGTAATAGAATTGCTGGGTCGAACGGTATTTCTGTCTTTAGGTCTTCAAGAGATTGCCAGACTCTCTTCCACAATGGTTGAACTAATTTATACTTCAACCAACAGTGTACAACAAACTCCCATGACATAAGTTTACCTATGTAATCAACCTGCACATGTACCCCTGAACTTAAAATAAAAGTTAAAAAAAAAAGAAAGAATACTGTCATCTAATCCAAGGGTTGATAAATAAGTCATCTAGAGTCCGTGAAATATTTGAGAACTTGCCACCCGAATGGACTTCGGAGACTTTACCCCAATCACAATTAGAGCAGTTCTACTTGTATGTGTTTTACATGTTGAAATGACATTCAGTGTAGGAATTTTTTTTTAAAAAGGGTTTCTGGGTTTCCACTTCTGGATTGGCAGTGGGAGAAGCTTCACGGACCTTCTCCTTTGCAAAACAAGCATAACTAGTAACAATTATGAAAAAAATAATACTCCCCCACTTAAAGTCTCTAGAAGTTATTCTAAGGGTACACAGCAAATGCTGAAACATTTATTCAAGAAAATCTACTACAACATTAAGAGCAGTGAGGCTCTGTGGCATTTGAATCATGATCTTTTAACTTCCTCTCACTTGACAGAGATTGTGTTGAATTTGTAGACTAACTTAGAAAGTATTGTCATGTTAATGATAGTTAAGTCTTCCAATCTGTGAACAAGGGGGGTCTTCCTGTTATTTTATTCAGATCTTTATTAATTTCTTTCCATAGTGTTTTATAGTTTTCAGTATATAAGTCTTGCCCTGATTAGGTTAAAATTATTCCTAAGTATTCTATTCTTTCTGATATTACTGAAATTGTTTTCTTACTTTCCTTTTCAGTTTGTTTATTGCTAATGTTTAGAAATACAACTGATTTTTATATATTGATTTTGTATCTTGCAATTTTTCTAAACTCGTTCAAACTGTTTATTTGTAGCTTCTTTATGATTTAAGACACTATTATCTGCAGAAATAGTTTTAATTTTTCCTTTCCAGTGTGGACAGTTTTTATTCTTTTTCATGCCTAATGGCCCTGGCTTAAACCTTCAATACAATGTTAAACAGAAGTAGTCTAAGCAAACATCTTTGCCTTGTTCTTCACATTAGGAAAATTATTTGAGTTTTTTTTTCAGTTTTTAGTAAGTGAGTATGATGTGTTAGCTGTGGCTTTTTCATAGGTGTTATTTATCAAAATGAGAAAGCTCTTTTTTATTCCTAGCTTGATGCATGTTTGTTTTTTAAATCATGAAAGGTACTATCTTTTTCTGCACCTATTGAGATGACCATGGGTTTTTATTTTCTCTTTATTATATTAATGTGGTATAATAAATTTATTGATTTTAATATGTTGAGCCACCTTTGTATTCCTCAAATAAATCCAGTTTGGCTTTGACATAAACATTTTTATATGCTGCTGGGCAGTTTTTCAGTATTGTGCTTAGAATTTTTTTTCCATTTATATTTGCAAGTGTTATTGTTCTGTAGTTTTCTCTTGTGATGGTTTTTTGTCTGACTTTGCTCACAGGATAATACTGGCCTCGTAGAGTAAGTCAGGAAATGTTCCCTCCTACTCTACTTCTTTTGAAATACTTTAATTAATGTTCTTTAAACATGTGAGAAAATCAATTAATTAAGCTATCTTGTCCTGAGATTTTCTTTGCAGATTTTTTTTTTTTTTTTTTGGATGAGTAGCTTGTATCTTTACTTACTACAGGTCTGTTTGTTTAGATTTCTATTTCTTCTTGAGTCTGTTTTAATAATTTGTGTGTTTCTAGGAATTTATTTTATCTACTTTATCTAGTATCAGTTGCTGCCATACAATTGTTTATAGTATTCCTTTGTAATTTTTTCTCCTGTAAAGACAATAGTAATGTCCCCTCTTTCATTCCTGATTTTAGTAATTTGAATCTTCTTCTTTTTTTTTTTTTCTTGGCCAGTCTAGCTAAATGTTTGTCATTTTTGTTGATCTTTTCAAAGAATCAACCTTTGGTTTCATTGATTTTCTCTACTGTGTTCGTATTCTCTATTTTGCTTATTTCTACTCGAGTCTTTACTATTTTTTCTTCTTATTTGAGTTTAGTTTTGATCTTTTATTTTCTTGTTTCTAAGGCAGGTGGTTATGCTATTAATTTGTGATATTTCCTTTTTTAATGTAGTCATTAATAACCATAAATTTCAGGCCGGGCATGGTGGCTCATGCCTGTAATCCCAGCACTTTGGGAGGCCAAGGCGGGCAGATTACCTGAGGTCAGGAGTTCAAGACCAGCCTGACCAACATGGTGAAACCCTGTCTCTACTAAAAATACAAAAATTAGCTGGGCCTAGTGGCAGGTGCCTGTAATCCTAGCTACTCAGGAGGCCAAGGCAGGAGAATCACTTGAACCCAGGAGGCGGAGGTTGCAATAAGCTGAGATGGTGCCGTTGCACTCCAGCCTGGACAACAAGAGTGAGACTCCATCTCAAAAAAAAAAAAAAAGATTTCCCTCATTGCCGCTTTTGCTATTCTCCATGGCTTTGGTATATTTTGTTTTTAATGTATCTCAAAGCATTTCCTAAATCTCTTGTGATTCTTTCTTTAATTCAACTATTATTTAGCAGTATGTTGCTTAATTTCCCCATATATTCATAAATGTTTCAAATTTCTTTTTATTATTAGTTTCTATTTTTTTTCCATTGTGGTTGGAGAATATACCTTGTATGATTTCAATCTTTTCAAAGTTTTGAGACTTGTTTTATGGTCTCACATGTAATTAATCCTGGAAAATAGTCCATGTGCACTTGAAAAGAATGTGCACTCTGTTGTTGGGTAGAGTGTTCTATAAATATCTGTTAGGTCTCATTGGCACATAATATTGTGCAAGGTTTTTCTTGCTGATTTTTGGTCTAGTCCTATCCCTTACTGAAAGTGGGTATTAAAAAGTCTCTATTAGAGTTGACTTGCAAATGTTTGCCTTCAGTTTTGTCAGTTTTTGCTTCATGTATTGTGTGGCTCTGTTGATAAGTGCATACATATTTATAATTCTTGTATCTTCTTCAGCAATTGACCTTTTTATTGTTATATTATGTCTTCTTTTGTCACTTGTTAAAATTTTTGTCTTAAAGTCTGTTTTGTCTGATATTAGTATACCTATTCAAGCTCTCTTTTGAATATTTTTTACATAAAATATCTTTTTCTTTTCAACCTATCTGTGCATCTAATGTGAGTCTCTTGTAGACAACATATATTGAGGTCATTTTAAAAAATCCAGTTAGCCAATTTGTGTCCTTTTATTGCAGAACTTAATCTACTTATATGTCATGTAATGGCTGATAAAATGTTATTATTCTTGACATTTTTCTATCTGTTTTCTATACATGTTATGTCTTTCTTTATTGTTCCTCAGTTCTTCCATTACTGCTTTCTTTTGTGTTGAATACATAATTCCTAGCTGTTCCCAACCTTTTTGGTGCCAGGGGCTGGTTTCATAGAAGATAATTTTTTCATGGATGGAGGTAGAAGGGATGGTTTTGGGATGAAACTGTTCCATCTCAGTTCATCAGGCATTAGAGTCTCATAAGGAATGTGCAACCTAGATCCCTCACATGCCCAGTTCACCTGCCACTTAGCTGACAGGAGGCAGAGCTCAGGTTATACTCACTTCACTACTCACCTCCTGCTGTGTGGCCTGGTTCTTAACAGGCCACAGACAAGTAGCAGCCCATGGCCCAGAGGTTGGGGACCCCTGTTATATGGAGCATGCTCTCATTTTTATGCTGTTATTGTCCCACATTTTATCTGTATACATTATATGCCCACCAACCTGGATTTATAATTATAGCCTTATATATTTTGTTTTAAATCGGATAGAAAAAATAAGTTACAAACTCAAAGAGCATTTTTGTAGTCTTTTAAATTTATCTATGCAGTTATCTTTCACAGTGCTCTTTACTTTTTCTGGTGGATGAGTCACTGTTTAGTGTCCTTTCTTTTCAGCTTGAACTGCTTCCTTTAGCATGGTTGGAGGAAGTCTACTAGCAATGCAAGCTCTCAGTTTTTCATTTATTGGGAAATTTCTTTATTTCTCTTTCATATTTGAAGAATAATGTTGCCAGATATAGAAATCTGGGGTCACAGTATTTTCTTTCAGCACTTTGAATATGCCAATATTCTGGCCTTCATAGTTTCTGGTAAGAAGTCAGTTCTCTCTTCTCACCTTCTAGCACTTCTGTTACACATATGTTGATATACTTAATGATATTGCTCAGATCTGTTAGGTTTCGTTCATTTTTAATTTTTTTTTTTTGCATTTTATTCTTCAAAGTGGCTAATCTCAATGGAATGAGAAGTTCAGGGACTTGTCTAAGGTAATAAAACTGTCTGATAGTAGATGAGAAACTACTGCACACGTCCCTGCCTTAACCCAGTTATTTGCTCATTCCATTGAATTAAAAGAAGATAAACTAAAAATATACAACCTCTTTTTAACCACCAAAGAATATCTACAAGTGGATAATTTTAGTTATCAGAGAAAACATAGCCCCTGGAAAATAATATGTCCGAAGTTACATGAATAGTAAATGGCAGGGCCAGGAATTAAAACAATGTTCTTAAGAACCAATCTGGTTCTTAAGCCCATCAACTCCTAACTAAAAATAATAATACAATTAAATAAGAGGGAATAATTATTAATCAAAATTAAGATAGATTCAGTATAACAATAGTGGTATGTATTTTTAAGAAGTTACATATGGTTCTGTCATTATGCATTGATGATTGTCCAGCAGATATGCTGGGAAGTTGGTAGAATGCCCCTTGGAAGGAAAGATGTGGGGTCACAAGTAAGCTGTGCCTAGAATATTATTCTGGTTTTAGGTAAGGTAAGCCCCTGAAAGGAGATCCAGGGGTCTAAACATGAGCATTCAAGGAATTTTATGAACTCTGGTTTGACTTTGGCTTACTATTTTACTTCTTGGTCCTATTTTTTCCAACTTCTGATATATTTTTTTAACCTAACTACATTAGCTACTTCAGAGTAGTAATATTTGATGTTATTTCCAAAGGGACCTAATTTAGTGTGAGATCTATTGTTCAGAAACAGGTGGTTGAGGTTATAGCTTTGGGTAGTCTGCCTGCTTGGCATTACTTTCTCAGTGATAGAAGTTTAAATAGTATCAACCCTCTTGAGAAAAAGACTAAAAAGAATAAGGCCAAATACTAATGTTCTAGCAAAATATTCTACACAACAGGGCAGAATTTGATTCTCAGTATGAGAAGGAAAGTGGTAAGCTTGCAAGGCAGATGTCTAGGCTGTGTAAAAAAGGAGATTAGGAGAATGCTATACTCATCGTGTTCTTAGAATTCATTTTTAGCACATCTGTGGTTACATAAATGTTACGAATTCTAGACTCATTCATTTTGGGCATGAATGCAATGGTTCTCAACCTATTATAATACTGATGCCCAGACTTCCATATATGTTAATTCAGAATTTCTGTGTTTGGGGCTTGCACATGGGTATTAAAAAAAAAAACACTGATTCATGCAGCAAGGATTGAGAAATACTTTTGCAATAGATTACCTATTCCAGTAGGTATGACTTAGAAAATGGATGAAACAGACATAATGTATTAAGTAACTCCAGCTGAGTGAGGGTGGCAAAGGTACTGGCTGCTCCCCACTCTGCTCTGAAAGAATGGTGTTTTATCAGAGCCTCAAAGTTGGTCTCTGGTATTAGATTTGGCACTGTATAGTGGGAATAGATAGGTCAGTCTTTGGAAGGAAGAAAGCCATATTGTTGAACCTATACAAAGGCTTAGAAAACAGGCCAGGGCCTATTTACACTGTTTACAATTAAATATACAATAAAAATACCTTGTTTTTCTTAAATTCACCCAATATCTGTCCACTTATCATATTTGTTTCTTCATAATTTAATGGGAATTTTTTCCCATATATTCTATGATGCACATTATAAAAAGTGTCAAAGAAGATGATCATAAATCCTCATTTTTTTCCAATCTAACACTTAACTTTAAAATCTTTTCGTACTTCACACTGAGCCAGAAACAGCCCCAACTTATTTCACTTTTTTTTTTTTTTTTGCACATTTTCATTTGGCCAGATGTTGCCATATAGGTAATAAGAGATTTCCTTTATTTTTCCTTTGAGGAAAATTGTTACATCCATCAGGCTTCTAGCAAAAAAAAATCAATTTTCTTTCTTATTCTTGCCTGATTTGATATAGATAGCTAATATGGAAACATAATTTTTCTCCTTCACTACTTTCAAGGTATCAGGTGTCATAATTACTCAAATTATAAATAGTTAAAAGAAACATAAAAAACGTTTCTCATCTATGTTCAGATAGAATCCATTTGAGAAGAAAATTTTTTGCCTTTCACCATAGCAATCAATATACACTCCATTGTCATAATGCCACACCTTCAACATGAATTTAAAGGCATAAAAATAAGTGTTGTGGAATCAATTAGCACAATCTTTTGGGACTTTGCACCAAAACACAATTGCACATTGTTAAGTTTTATGAAGAACATGATTTTTTTTAAAAAATCCATATTCTCAAGATACATTTGGGGTGTTGCTACATGGTAGTGCAGGAAAGACTATATGCATGAAATTCAGGGCCTTCTTTGAAGTTTTTAGCATTTCTGTGTTCAATAATTTAATGGAAGACTACAGTAACCGAAGAAAGGTGAAAATCACTCAGATTTCCAATTCTCTAGGAAAGAAGGTTTGAGTCATTTGATAGGTAGAGATCCTTAGCCAGCCGAAATGCTGGCTGAGTGCAAATATAACATTTAATGGGTAGTAAAAAAAATAAAATAAAATGAGGTCTGCAGCAGCTATGCATCTTTTCTTTCCTGGTCCTTCTGTGTTTTCACATATAACCTAATTTGTGTCTGTCTGTGTGTATACATATACAGTATTTTTATATATTAACATTTCATGTCTTATTATTTCATATGTGTTATCAATGATATTTAATCTTATAATTCTCTCTTTAGAGTACAGAATGTTTATATAAACCATGACAAAATTTGAGGTTTATATAACATCTCCCAGAGATGGATAATATGGCTATTAATCAAAAAGGAATAATTAATCAGAAATGGCTTTTGGGACATTAGTTACCTCTTCATGTGCATAGAATGAAATAATCTTGGTTTGAAAAAACTAGCATAAGTTTGTTATTGTTATTGTGTGAAATTTAATTATGTATGGGAGGGTAAATGTGTATCAATGCCTGATAGACAAGAGGTGGACTGTGCCAGTTTTTAAGCTATTGTTTCCAGCCCCAACGATGTCCTACTATATTCCACTTTGGGATACTGGGGCTGACAATGTGTAAGCTGCATTTCTCTTTTGCTAGTTGAATCCCTGATAGACACTACATATAGGCTAGAACAGCAAAGGATTTGTTCCTTCTTGTTTATTTCAGTGACTGTTCTTGACCCTAGGAAGAGCAGTAGAGTCTAGCTTCTAGCTTTCTTATCAGCACACCAAGAATCAGCATTATCATTCCTCTTAAGAAGTTTCAACATGCTTTAGGCCGTATTCCCCATTCCCTCACACCCGTACATCCCTCTCTGCTCAAAAATCTGAGATCTAGTTCTGTAGAGCACTAGTATACTCATGAGCTATCAGTACCAGTTGACTAAAGCCTCCTACTCAGGAGTTTGAATTCCTGCCCTGTGAGGCTCCTCCTCCAATGTCAGGTGATATGAGATATCACTACTAAATAAACAGTGTCCCCTCTTCAGAAATCTGAGTCCAGGTTTTCGAAGCCCTTCCCAAAACTACTAGATTCTAATATCTGTTACTACTTTGTTATTTTTCCCCAGCCCTAGGAGTGGTACTGCTTCCTCCAATGCCTATCTCTGTAATTTTTCAGTTTTCTTTCCACTTTTGAATTTTCAAATATCTGTTTAAGCTATTGTTTATTATTATATAAACAACTGACATTATTAAAACAACTAGCATTGTTTCTGTTTTTTCTCATTGAATCTTGACTAATACGAAACATGAACACACACATATACACACACACACACACATATACACAAGTACACACACATACCTCTATCATTTTGTATAAAACTATAGAAAACAAAGTTCTTTATAGCTAGTCGAATGTGGGTTAATGTGATTTTTTTAATATAAAGTTAAAAAAAACCTAGTAATTATAGAGTATACATTGAAGGCATATGACATAGGACAGTATCAGAAATACTTGGTGTGTATTTAGATTTCATACATTTTATAGGCAAAAACTTACATTCACACATCCAAATTGCTCTAAAAATATTTGTAAGTTTTTCAATAACAAATACTCGATTTTAAATTAAAGTTTAAAATTATATTCTTGAGTTTTATTAACAATATTTTAAGTGCTCATTAGCCACATGTGCAGATATAGGTCATTGTCTTTATTACTCATATTTCACCCTGATTCTATAGCAAACCATATGTAAAATTTTTGAACAATATATGGCAGTTTAATTATGTCAAAGATGAGAACAGAAGTAAAATGCCACTGTTTAATTAAAATATGTGCCTCATTTTGTCAGAAGATACTAGACCAGCAAGTAATAATAATAATAAATATCAAAAATTACTGAAATGTATAATGGAAAAACAATAGAGATAATCAAGTAAACTAAAGCTGCCTCTTAGAAAAAGACAAATACAATGAATAAAGGTCTAATTAGGCTGGTTATAAAAAATTAGAAGAGACAGAAATTACCACTAACAAGAATGAATTAGCAGCATCACTACAGAACCTACAGATATCAAAACGAGAAAGAGTAGACATTATGAATTATTGTATGCCAGTAATTTGACAATTTAAACAAAATGAACTACTTCTTTGAATACCACAAACTACTAATGCTCATTCAAGAAGAAATAGATTGGTTGGGTAACATTAAATTTATTAAACCAATTGAGTTTTAATTTTAAATCTTTTCTACAAGGAAAATTTCTAATCTAGCTGACTTTATTGGTGAATCCTACCAAACATTTAAGAAAGGAATATTGCCAATTAGATACAAACCCTTCCTAAAACTAAAAGAGGAAGGAACATTCATTTTATTTTATTTTATTTATTTAATTAATTTATTTTTCACTAGACAGGCCATCAAGGCAGAAAGTCAACAAAAAAACAATGGATTTAAACTATACCCTAGAACAAATGGGCTTAAGAGATACTTATAGAACTTTCAACCCAACAACCACAGAATATACATTCTATTCATCAGCACATGGAACTTTCTCCAAGATAGATCATAGGATGGGCCACAAAACAAATCTTAATAAATTTAAGAAAATTGAAATTATATCAAGTACTCTCTCAGACCACAGTGGAATAAAATTGGAAATCAACTCCAAAAGGAACCTTTAAAACTAGACAAATACATGGAAATTAAATAACCTGATCCTGAATGATTGTTGTATCAACAATGAAATCAAGACGGAAATTTAAAATATTTTTTGAACTGAACAATAATAGTGACACGACGTATCACAGCCTCTGGAATGCAGCAAAGGTGATGCTAAGAGGAAGGTTTACAACCTTTAGCATCAAAAAGTCTGAAAAAGCACAAATAGACAATCGAAGGTCACACCTCAGGAAACTACAGAAGAAGAAACCAAACCCAAACCCAGCAAAAGAAATAACCAATATCACAGCAGGACTAAATGAAATTGAAACAAAAGAAATACAAAAGATAAGTGAAACAAAAAGCGGGTTCTTTGAAAAGATAAATAAAACTGATAGAGCATTAGCAAGGTTAACCAAGAAAAGAAGATAGAAAATCCAAATAAGCTCAATTGAAAACGAAATGGGAGATATTACAACTGATGCTACAAAATACGAAAGATCATTCAAGGCTACTATGAACATCTTTATGCACATAAATTAGAAAACCTAGAGTAGGTGGATAAATTCCTGGAAATACACAACCCTCCTAGACTAAATCAGGAGGAATTAGAAAGCCTGAACAGACCAAAAAGAAGCAGCACGATTGAAATGGTAATAAAATTACCAACAACAAAAAAAGGTCCTGGACCAGATGGAGTCACAGCTGAATTCTATCAGATGTTCAAAGAATTGTTATGAATCCTACTGACACTATTGCACAAGATAAAGAGTGAATTCTCCCTAAATCATTCTATGAAGACAGTATCACCCTAACACCAAAACCGGGAAAGAACATAACAACAAAAAACTACAGACCAATATCCCTGATGAACATAGATACAAAAATGCTTAACAAAATACTAGCTAACTGAATCAAACAGCGTATCAAAAAGATAATCCACCGTGATCAAGTGGGTTTCATACCAGGGATGCAGGGATAGTTTAACGTACATAAGTCAATAAACGTGATATACCACATAAACACAATTAAAATAAAAATCACATGATCTTCTCAATAGATGCAGAAAATGTACTTGACAAAATCCAGCATCCATTTATGATTAAAACCTTCATCAAAATTGGCATACAAGAAACATACATCAATGTATTAAAAGCCTATCTATGACAAGCCCACAGTCAATATAATACTGAAAGAGGAAAAGAGGAAACATTCCCTCTGAGAACTGGAACAAGACAAGGATGCCCACTGTCACCCTTCTATTCAACATAATACTGGAAGTCCTAGCCAAAGCAATCAGACAAGAGAAATAAATAAAGGGCATACAAATTGGTAAAGAGGAAGTCAAACTGTTGCTGTTTGCTGATAATATGATCATATACCTAGAAAATCCTGAAGACTCTTCCAAAAAGCTCCTAGAATTGATAAATGAATTCAGCAAAGTTTCGTTATACAAAATTAGTGTACACAAATCAATAGCTCTGCTATACACCAACAGCAAGCAAGCTGAGAATCAAATCAAGAATTCAGCCCCTTTTAAAATAGCTGCAAAAATAAAATAAAATAAATTACTTAGAAATATACCTAACCAATGAGGTGAAATACCTCTAGAAGGAAAACTGCAAAACACTGCTGAAAGAAATCATAGACAACACAAACAACTGGAAACACATTCCATGCTTGTGGATGGGTAGACTCAATATTGAAACATTCATTCAAAGTGGTCAGCATTACCTAGATACCAATACTTGGCAGGGCTGTGTGTTACCTGGAAATGAAGTATTATGTAAGAACAGAACTCAACAATACTAAATAAATACCTCAATAAAAACAGAGATTTGAAAAAAAATCTTCGAGCAGTTAACATTTGTAGTTGGCAAATTCTTGTCACCTGTATGCAATGCTTATAGGCTAAGAAGTCTACTTTTTCAATAGGTACTGACTTAACTATAAAGAAAGTGAAAGGATCTTTCACTGACAAGTGAAGAAACACAGCATACGAATTAAGAGAAATTCTAATCCAGCTGAAATGAGTTAGAATTCTAAAGTTTAAATTTGGAGGTATGACTAATTTGATTGCTATGTGAAAGAAGAAATAAAGTCATGTAATATAGAGAAATTAACCTGGATTTGGGATCAGAAGATTATGGTTCAATTTACCACTTAACCACTTTGTACTTCAGAAGCACTTTTCCAAAATACTCAATTTATTTATTTTAAAAACAAATGGCAGTGTGAGACTGTTTCTATTATTAAATGACATAACAAAGGAGTATTTCCTAAACGTTGCTTTCCTTTTCATGTTGAAGCATGAAACTCCTTAAAATGATCCTCAAGGAGCCTCATTACGTCCCCAATCTTATTCTCCTGTACAATCTCCCTAGTTTACAATGGTCCAGTTATTCTAATCAATCTGTTCCTTGAAATTCTTAGTTTGTTTTAATTTCAGAGGTTTTGCACTTGCTTTTTCTGAATCAGTACTTTGTTTAATTTCAGAACACAAAACTTATGTGGAGTGCAAGCACCAGTTTTCTAATTTTTCAGGGAATTATTTTACTATCCAGGTCTTGAAAGCTAAAATCTTCCTTTGACTTGTAGTGGATTTTGTTTTTCTACTATACTCATTCATGAATGATGCAGATTTCTAGGGTCTTTGATTATGTGGACATTTTGGTCCTAGCCTTGGGTGGGCTCAAGTCTTTCATTTCTGCCCCATTATGGGCTTTAAAATCTTATGCCTTAGGTTATTGAGACCAAAACCCCAACAACCAAGGTAAGGTACAGGCCAGCTTCCTAGCTCAGTACTCCTGTTTTAATTTATTTCTTCTTTCTTAATCTTATTAGCCTTACTGTTCTGAGAGATAGATATGCATGTAAAATAAATTTTCCTATTATATTTTTCTGGCTTTGTACGGATTGTCTCAAGAGAATTTTCAGATTCTCATAGTCTAATATCTCACTAGAACAGAAAGCCATATATCAACTTTAAGAACTGCACATAAAATATCTTAAAAATAAATCAAATGTCTTCCTTACTCATAGAACATGAAAAAATAGAAGGACGTTGGAAATCAGAAAAGCCAATGACCTCATTTTGTAGTGAGGATAAAAGGAAATATATGGGGATGGCATAACTGAAGGCGATGCAACTTAAGAGTGACACTACTACAATAAGGGCTTTTCTCAAGGCCTGCTTCCCTCACCTCCATACCTCAACACTGAGTACTAGAGGTAATTACCTTTCAATGATTTAACTGATATGAGCAACTGTCTGATTAGTATCAAGGGACCTCACAGAACAGGGATCACTGGGGTTAAGGGATTTCAAAAATGTTATCTCCATTCTCCAAAGCAATTGATTCCTGGTTTGGTAAAAGAATACCCCATTATGTGAATCTTGAAGCTTGTTCTCCTGTCTTTTTTTACCTGACGTAGAGGAGCTGTGATGCTTCTTTTTCTCTTGGGAAAGCACATTTTCTAAAAAAACAAAAACAAAACTTTTTTCCTTTCAATAAATATGCTTTGTATAAAGACATAGCTACAGAAAACTTTCAGCTGCCATTTCCTCTTTGACTTTTTGAATTTAATATTTCTTTCCTGAGTATTCAACAGATTCTTATCCTTATTGTTATTCTAGATTATTGTGACATTTTGTACTTGACAAGATATATCTTGGGCATGCTTCACTTTAGGATAAAAATAACATTTGTATTGTCCGTGCATGTTATTATTTGTCCTCTGCTGTGGCAATCCGACAAGCAAAAATTTGTTTTGATACTTCAGGAAACCCTTATGTCATCAAAATTACATTAATAAACAGTCATATGATAAACAGATATGTTATGAATAATTTGGCAAAGGAGGTTTTCAAAATAGCATTTCTTATAGATATTTTATACATTAGTTATTGTTCTTTAATTCATTTTTCCTTTGAGGAAAATCTGAGATAATTTCCCTGCAGAATATCTTTTGGAATTAAAGCCATATGTTTTATAGTACCTATTTAAACATTTCAACATGCTTTAATGTTTTTTCTCTCATTTCTTCAGCAAATTTCACTTAAAATATAGATTCAGTCACCTGTATCTTAAAATAAAAAAATCATTCTAAAATACTATTTTCTTAATTCTTGCTCCCCTCAAATTATTTGTTTTCTTATTTCTCTATTTTATCATCACAATTTTAAAAGCTAGGTCTGATTTAACATTTTCAACTTCAAGTCTGTCATTATTCCACTACAGTTTGACTTTCTTTCTCACTGCTTGTATCAGGCTGAATTGCTTCCCTGCAAAATTTGTATGTTGAAGTCCTAATCCCAAGTACCTCAGAATGTGAGTGTATTTTAAGACAAAGTTTTTAAAGACCTTATCAGGGTGAACCCTAATGCAATATGACTGGTATCTTTATATGAAGAGAAGGTTAGGACACAGACACACAGACAGGGAAGACTGTATGAAGGCACAGCAAGAATATGGCCAGCTGCAAGTCAAAGAGAGAGGCCTTAGAATAAATCAACCCTGCAGTCACCTTGATCTTGGATTTCTAGTCCCCAGAATTGTGAGAAAATAAATTTATGTTTTGTAAGTCACCTAGTCTGTGGTATTTTGTTATGGTAGCCCTAGAAAACTAATATACCACCCTATAAATAATGTTTTTGGTATTATCAGTTACGTCCTAATTGATATAATGACAGAATCAAAACACAGGGACTTTCAAGTAAGACAGAAGTGAGTTAAAGTCCTAATTTTAGTCAATTAATAGTGCTAAAACTTTGGGTGAATTATTTAATCTTTCTTTGCCTCCGCCTTCAGACTTTAAAAAAGGAAATAATGAATATTCATTTGTAGGGATTAAAGAGGATGGTTATATGGAAATGCCTTGTGTAATATCAAGCAGATAATAATGAAACTCATGACACTATAGTTCTTTCCTGTTGTCCAGACCAGCATGCTTCCTAAATTCAGACCACTGATATATTTAATGACATAAATAATGGATGATTTGTCTAATATTGTTTTCTCTAACTTACACAAACTCTTCCTTTCTAATTCTTATTCTCCTAGTCAGCCCCCAGCCCCTTAAGAACTGATGACCTCCCTTCACACTTGAATAAGAAAATAGAAATAACTAGATCGGTACACCCTAATTTGTCCAAGAACAATACATGCATCTATACTCTATCCTGTGTCTCCATTCAGGCATAAAGGAAGGTTCCTCCCAACTCATGGCAAAGGCTCCTCTCTCCATTGGGCTTTAGATTTCACATATCCAGTACCTTGCTGTGGCAGTTTTTTCCTTTTTCTCCTATGTCTCTTTCTCTGAATGTTTTCATTTTCAACAACATATAATCATTCTCTAATACATAAACTCTCTCTTAAAAAGAAAATCTCAAATCCTCCTTTCTTGTTCATATCCCCTTTCCAGCTTCCCACTTTAAAATGCTCCTTTTTTTGTGAAAACTTTTCAAAAGATTTGTTTAGAATCTGCTCCAGTCTGGCTCCTGAAGCTTCCATTCTACTGAAACTTTTCTGTTGCCAAGGGCATGATCATCCTTGTATTTTCAGACCCAACAGGTACTTTTCTTTCCTCATTCTATTGATCTCTTAAGAGTACATGATTTATTTTTCCACTTTTTTTTTTTTTTTTTTTGCTACATGGCTTTTGTGGCTTAATGTCCTTGTTTTTCTTCTTCCTCACTGGTCAATGACCCTCTGTCTTCTTTGCTTTTGTTGATTCATCTGTATCGGCTCATCCTTTTAATGATGGGGTATGCCAGACTGCTTCCTTTTCTTCTGTGTTTATACTCAATTCCTGTGACCTCATTCACTCCATTGATTTTAAATAATGCTAAATAATTAAGTTTTGAAACTTAAATGATTAAATAACATGAAGTGATTAATGCTAAATAGATAAGGCTAAAACTACCAAATACATGTATCTAACCTGGTTCTCTCTTTTGAGCTTGATACTCCAAGATTCAACTGACTACTTGGCAGCCTCTTTTGGGTATCTATTTGCCCTATCCTAAAAAGACCCAAAGATGTTCAAAGAGAACTTTAGTTCATTTTCTTTGCTAAATGTATTACTTACCCCTCCTTTCTACTTCAGTAAACATCTCCACTCTTCTCTCTAATGCTTCTAAGTATTGGAGTAATCTTTCATTACTCTTTTTTCTTTATTTTTAAAATTACTGACTACATCTATATTATCACATAGTCCATTAACAAGCCCTGTTGGTTTTACCTCTGAAATACACATGGTTCAGTTTTCTTCTTCCCAATAGCTCCATTGTCACCTCTGTGGTTGAAATCACTATCATTTCTCATTTAGACCAATGCAATAGAGTAATCCATGTCACTTTTGAAGTTTTCACTCTAATAGTCTATTTGTCACAATAGCCAAGACAAGTTTTAAAAATGTCAATCTAAAAATTATTTCAGCACCTGGATTAAAATAATTTAAACTCTTTCCTCTGTACTGTACTTAGGGCTCTGTTGATCTCTGCTGATCTCTTCAATCTCATATTGCACCAAGTTCCTCTTGTTTACCATAGTTAGCTTTTCTAGTCTTTCCAAACTTGAAGCAAGACAAGCTTTTTTTTGCCATGGGACCTTTAAATGTGTGCCTTCTGCTTCCTAAAAATCTTGTCCCAGAGGGATTTCTATGGCTACCCCTTTTCCATGGTCTCAGTGTCAAATTATAGGTCATTTCCTCAGAGAAGCCAGCTATAAGTAGCCTATCTCAACTGGAACCTTCTCCCAAGTACTTCTTTATAAAATATATAGATATTATATCACATCATAGTGCTTAACTGAATTTTGTGCTTATTTATTTCTTTTCTGGTTTGCTTATATTTCTCCTCACTAGAATGCAAATATTTTAATAGCAAGTTCCTTGTCTATCTAGTAATTGTGTGCTAAGAACATTTTTACATATATATTTTTACAATATCATACTAAAAATCAAAGCTGTAACTTTAGATGGCTACAAATATTAGCACCATTTTGTGGCTGAGAAAAAGAAGGCTTAGGGAAGAATAAGCAGCTTGCCAGAGATTATGTAGCTAGATGTAGCAGCTTTGGGATTCAAAATGAGGCATGTCTGATGCTAAAATCTATGATCTTAATCACATGATTTACTGCCTCTTAGTCTCCTGATTTCTGGCCTTTTGATTTACTTTAGAGCTCTGTTCATCCCTTGGATCTGATATTTGGTGCTATTTCAGTGGGTCTGATATTTGGTGCTATTTCAGTGGGTCTGACATTTGGCTCTCTAAATAATTATGATAAAGATCTATCTTACAG